>NW_016107309.1:0-161095 GCF_000001405.40 Homo sapiens
GAATTCCCCATGAGTCCTGTGACCTCAGCCCACACGGGGACCTACAGGTGCTACGGCTCACTCAGCTCCGACCCCTACCTGCTGTCTCACCCCAGTGGCCCCGTGGAGCTCGTGGTCTCAGGTGAGGGCGCTGACCCTGTCCTCTCTGAGCTCAAAGGCTCAGCTCAGGCCCTGCCCCCAGCAGAGCTCTGGACACTAAGGAAAGAGGGGAGTGAAGGGAGAGGGTCCGCAGGGGAGGGTCCAGCCCATGGGAAGATGGAAATAGACAGGGACCTCCCACCCCTGGCTCCCACCCCTGAAGTCTCAGTAGAGTAAAGTGCAGGGAGGGCTGGGAGGAGACGGGGGGTGAACCTCAAAGGAGTTGAGATTAGACTGAGGGTGGAAGACGGAGGCCCCACCTGCTCCCATCCTGGTGTCTCCACCTCAGAATCAGAGCCTCTGTGTCCCAGTCCCCAACAGACGCCCTCCTGGAGAGAGAAGCATCCAGGCTGCCGGTGCCACCTGCATCCACCCCCGACCCCCCCCCACCCCGCCCCACTTCCTGCTTTCCCCTGCAGCCTCCCCAGCACTCAGCGCACACCTGAGCCTCACAGGGACTTGCACGTGCTCCCGCAGCAGCTCAGGGAATGTGCACCGCTCCTCTTCTGCGCCGTTGACATTTTTTATTTGGGTTTTTAAAATCTCATATTGGCCTTTTTGTCCAAGCTGGTGAAAGTAGATTTGCAGCATCACCTATTTTTATTCTCACCCGGTTTCGTAATAGCCCTGATCTCACGTGCTCCCTGAGGTTTTGTAAACTTCAGGTAGAAATGTGGACTTCCTTCGTTCTGGACATTTGCTATGGAGGGGGTAGGGCTTATCTTTTCAGAAAAAGTCAAATGACTGGTACCACTCCTTGAAACCCTACAGCACTTTCCAGACCTCAGAGGGAGGGAGAGAGAGGCAGAGACAGAGACAGAGAGACAGAGAGAGAGATATTGGGGCCGCTCTTTCCTGGCCGGTTCATCCTGGCCTATTCTCAATCCACCAAGGCCCCGAAGCTCATCTCCCCTCCTCCTCTGCCTCCTCCTCCACCCTGTAGACAAGCGGCCATTCCTTTCTGAAGAACAGGCTGAGACCTTTCTGGGACCTGCTCTTTCTGGAGCCTCTGTTGCTCCCTGTCTGGGTCTCCACACGCCTCCTTCCTGGCCCTTTTTCCTATTGAGGAATCAGCTTCAATGTCACCTCCAAGTGTGACCTTCACTGACGACACAGCTCAGCCCAGTCCTGCCTGCTTCTCATTTATGTCAAGTAATTAACCAACCTACACCATGCGGCTGAATTCCTTCTCTCTCTCTTCCACTCTCTGCATATACGTGTGTGTGTGTGTGTGCGCGTGTGTGGTCACACCAACATCTTACGTGACATTGAAACCTAGTTATCCGTATATCTATACAAATAATATATATTCACACATAAATATAGGTCTCTACCAATATATCTAAAACCATTGCTACGACTAGTAAATTTCCACTGCTGTGTTTCTATATGTTTGCTGTTTGTCTCCAGGTGAACCCACACTTCAAGAAGGCAGAGATAGTTTTTAAGGCCCACTATATATATAAAACAGATATATATTTGTGTTTGTGTTTTTCTGTGTGTGTATCACATTCTACCTGTTGCTGCCTATACGAATAATTAGCTACCTAGAGATTAAATGGACAATGAAACTCCAGGTGAAGTGGCTGAGGGCATGAAGGGGAGGCAGCCCCAGAATTTCACCCCTTTGTGCTTCTGACATTGAGGCTCCCCTGATGACTAACCCTCATCCACGGAGCCTGGGTCCTCAGCTGGTGGATCCGTGAAACTCTCATCTCCGGGGGAGTTGGCTCATGTTCTCCTGTGTCCCAGGCTGCACAGAGAGCACACAGGCCTTAGTGACCTCTGTACTGGGGACCACTTTCCTTGCAGATCCTGAGCTCTCAGGATGCAGGAAAACTCTCTCCCAGATGACTCAGGAGCAATGTTTAAATCCATAGAACACAGGAAAACTGAAATCGTTCAATGAGGAGACTAGAGGGAATCCTGCTAGCGGAGGAAGAGGTTTTTTTTTTTTTTTTTTAGAAATTCTGTAAAAGTCACATCATGAGACATTAAGTAATAAAAAAAAAATTGCAGAGCCCAGGTGAGAGGCTGGGCTCAGGTCTCTTTTTCTCTGTTTTGATTCTCTGGAGCAGCTGATACCCTCAGCCCATCACAAAACAAGTCTGACTCTGAGACTGGTATGTGAGGAGATACTCTCAGTGATGGGGCTGGCACTGAGGGTTGGGTCCTGTGAAGGGGAGGTGGGTGCCCTGGGTGGACAATCTGATCCACCCTGACCTCTGTGACCTCTTTGTCCACCATCCCCAGCCTCACACCTTCAGGATTACGCAGTGGAGAATCTCATCCACATGGGCGTGGCTGGCTTGATCCTGGTGGTCCTCGGGATTCTGTCATTTGAGGCTTGGCACAGCCAGAGAAGCTTCCCAAGATGCAGCCGGGAGGTGAACAGCAGAGAGGATAATGTACTTTATAGAGTCGTGAAGCCTCAGGAACAGATCTGATGATCCCAGGAGGTTCTGGAAGAAAATCTAGGGCCGATGCTATCTGGACTGTCTGCTGGTCATTTCCAGAGGAAGGAATCAATGTCCGAGTGCAGGGACATTTTCTGGGGTGATCCATGGAGAACCATTAAAATGTGATACCTTTCCTCTCCATTAATGTTGACTTTCCTTGGTTGGATCTGCCTCTTTTCCCACACTTAGACATGAGGCTCCATCCCACATGGCAGCGTTGGGTCCACACCTCTGCACACCTGCATGCTCTGGTCCATGGCGTGTCACACAGTCCTCTTCATTTCTCATTGCCACACTTCCTGGTGTACTTTACTGGGTCTTCATGTCTTCAGTTCAGAGTTCCGCACCTGGTTTAGGAACTAATTCAACGGGAGAAGATCAGAGTCCGACCAGGAAAAGATAAATGCACCGTGATGCCCTCACCTCCTGTGTGGACCCTATGAGCTCTTCCCTCCTTATCAGATGCTATCTGTGTAGTTTCTCCTGAAATATCACCACCTGGAATCAACACACTGGCATTTGAAGTCACGACCCAATGGTATGCTAATTCTGAAAAAGACATTTTTTGAAATGCTATGATTAGTGGCATTTACCAATTTCCTTGACGTAAATTCTTTTTTCATGGCCATAATCAAGATGCCAACGAGACATCCCTGAATGCAGGGTTGGGAAGCGTTGGACAGACTTGTCTTCACTCATAAGCACCAGGCATCTGATAGCTCACGTATACATCTTATTACCTTCCATTTTAGAGTGAATAATCATTTCTACTTCAGTATTTTGGCACAGGTAAAAGCAGTCCCATTACTGCGCGTATACCCAAAGGAATATAAATCATTCTATTGCAAAGATACATGCACACATGTGTTCATCGCAGCACTATTCACAATAGCAAAGACATAGAATCAACCCAAATGCCCATCAATGATAGACTGGATAAAGAAAATGTGAGACATATACACCACGGAATACTATGAAGCCATAAAAAGAAACAAGATCATGTCCTTTGCAGGGACATGGATGGAGCTGGAAACCATTATCCTCAGGAAACTAACACAGGAACAGGAAATCAAACGCTGCATGTTCTCACTTACAAGTGGGTGCTGAACAATGAGAATGCGTGAACACAGGGAGGGGAACAACACACACTGGGGCCTGTCGGGGGGGGGGTGGGGTAGGGGTAGGGAGAGCATTAGGAAAAATAGCTAATGTATGCTGGGCTTAATACCTAGGTGATGGGTTGACAGGTGCAGGAAACCACCATGGCGCACATTGACCTATGCAATAAGCCCACACATTCTGCACATGTACCCCGGAACTTAAAATAAAAATAAAAATTAAAATTAAATTATGACACCATGATCCTAGCATATCCAAAAAAGACAAAAATGCCAATATCAAATGTCGGAGAAAATAGGGCTGAATTAAAAATCCAATACAACGCCGGGCGCAGTGGCTCACGCCTGTAATCCCAGCACTTTGGGAGGCCAAGGTGGGTGGATCACTTGAAGTCAGGAGTTTGAGACCAGCCTGGCCAAACGTGGTGAAACCCTGCCTCTACTAAAAATACAAAAATTAGCCGGGTGTGGTGGCACTCGCCTGTAGTCCTAGCTACTAGGGAGGCTGAGGCAGGAGAATCACTTGAACCCGGGAGGCGGAGGTTGCAATGAGCTGAGATCATGCCACTGAACTCCAGCCTGGGTGACAGAGCGAGACTCCGTCTCAAAAAAAAAAACAAAAAAAAAAAACCCTCAAAAGCTCAGGCAGCAAAAGCAAAAATAGGCAAATGAGATCATAGCAAACTGCAAACCTTCTGCACAATCAAGGAAACAAACAGCAGAGTGAAGAGACCACCTACAGAATGGGAAAGAATATTTGCAAGCAAGAGATTAATCTCCAGAAAATACAAGGAGCTCAAACAATGCAGAGGTTTTGAAGGATGGTGATGAGAAGGTTCTGCTACTTACAGAAAGGAAGTTTAGGAGAAACAAAACCACAAACCTAGGTGGTGGGATGGCTTGATCTGCTTCTGTCTGTGACTCACTTAACAGTCTTAAACACATCTCCCTAAGCCTCCTTCCCCCGGTGGGATTCCTGGGTCTTGTGAGGACCTCATCGGTCCCTCTGGTAAACCCAGGCACAGAGTGGAGCAGCTCTTGTTTTCTCAGGATCTTCCCCTTCACATACAATTAACGCACCCACACGATGCTACTCTTAGAACCCTTCAAATAAATGTTTCCCGGTTCATTCACTACCAGAATCCAAGCTCAGCTTGTTCCCCAGCTTAGGACTGAGTGGTATCTTGGAGGTAGTTTCCACCATAGCCCCCTTCCTCTGCTATAAGGCTCAGTGACACACCAGAGACACCCCCTCCAGCCAGGCTCCTGGAAGGTCTGGATGAAGACTGGGATGCTGAGGCATTGCTCAGCAATGTGGCTTAACTCAAACTTCTATGTGAAACTTCCAACCACTTTCAGCAAGGGGTCACTTCCAGCGTCTTGGGGTGTGAGGGCACTTTGGTTGGTCCCTGCAATATCAGACCCTATAAAGATCCTACAAACATGTTGCAGACTCTTTGAAGATTCTGGCACTTTCAGACATGCTGTTGGGAAATGGTGACACCCATAACCTTCTAGTTCCAGGACAGGGAGCCTTAGCCCAGGGCTATGTTTTCTGAGGGTCCTCAAAGTAAACAGTTCTATGTGCCAGGAGAACCCTAAATCTCATATGGTTCTAAGGGCAGAAAGCCACACACGCACCGGCAAAAAGCAAGAGATTCAAGGAAAAGCTGAGCAAAGACAGACAGGAAAACACACACATGATGAGCCAGCTTGTAGAGCTAGAACTGAGATGGAGAGAGGCACGAGTGGGTAACAGAGTGTGCTCCCCAGAACAGGTGGAGAGAATGCCTTTTTCATGCCCTGAGGATAGGCTGGGTAAGGCTTGTGCTCGACAGTCAAGGACTATTTTTTTCCCCAGGCGTCTACAAGAGACCTTCCTTCTCAGCTCAACTGTGCCCTGCAGTAAGTAATGATGGAGAGAATGTGACTTTGCTCTGCAGCTCTGGAAGCTCATTTGACCTGTGCCTTCTAACGAGGAAGGTAAGGCCCCTGGACACTGGCTCACTGGGGTGCAGAGACAGAGTGGGGCATTCAGGCCAACTTCTCTCTGGGTCTTGGGGCTGGTGATGGGACCTCTAGATGCTGCAGCTCTCTGTCGATGGCTCTGCCTGTGAGTGATCAGCCCTAGATGACCACTGTTACTGGGGGTAGCCCATGCCTGCTGCATGCCCTGTGAAACACTAAATCATATAGCCACGTCTGAGGGACAGCCTGCTGGAGACATGGGAATCTTAGGGATTCCAGACAAAATGAAGCAATGAGAAACACAAAGAGGAAAAGAGAGGTTGAGTATGACAGTGGTGTCAGGGTGTAGGGTGGTAGACAGGGCAGCTCCACACTCTCCACTGCTTCCTGTCTGGAGGCCCACTTTGGGGTCCTACTTATCCAGGTGAGTGAAGGAAGAGGTCAGGACAAACACAGGAGGTGAAGCCAGATACAGTGTGGGGAGATAAGCAGTGGCCTCAGCCTCTAGCCCTTTTCCATCTTCCAGAAGCCCCTCCTGAGCTCTCATCACAGACAGATTTCCCATTTGGAAACCCAGATATTTATCATGCCGGGGGGGGGAGGCAATGTCTCTTGATTATGGGGACTTTCCATCACCAGGCACCTGCTAGTCCTCTCTATACCTTCCCTTCAGGAAAGGAATTGTCCCTCATGGGATTCCAGGGAAGAGACCCCAGGACCCCTATCAGTCACTAGGGAGATGACAGAGTAGAGGAAGTCAGGGGACCAACCCTCCACAGAGAATGGTCCTACTTCAGTGGGGTGAGGGAAACTCTCACTCATCCATTTGCTGTCCTGTTACCTCGGAACCCTAAGAGAACTTGTTAGTCACACACAGAATCTACCCCTGAATGTGGTGTGCAAAGTGGGGCTCTTAGCCTCCAGTGTGAAGTCCCTGGGAAGATGGAATGTCCCTGTGTGAGTGAAGGCTGTGCCACCGCCCAGCTATGTGGCCTTGGGCTAGGCAACCCCTCCCAGGTCCCCAGTTCCCCATCTGCATCGGAGACTGTGGCCAGTGCGGGAATCCACAAGGCCCTTCAGCCTCCAAAGCTCTGGGACAGAGGCCTCGTCCACAGGGAGGAAGGGGTCAGAGTGACCTGAGTCCCTACTCAGGAGCGAGTCTAATCCACTCTCCATCGGGGCCTGTGGGGAAGGGAAGATGAAGAAACGGAGCCTGCACCTGGCTATGTGGGCGCAGTAGATTAAGGGGAGGATGAGGGTTCCTGAGAGTGTGTCATGTGGCAGAGACCCTGCAGCACACTCAGGAAGGGCTCTGGAAGGATCCAAGGAAATTTTCCAAGAAGAGGGCAGAGTAAGTGACAGAGACCCTCAACCATGGATTTCACTGAGGTGCCCATGATGACATAGGGAGAACGGGGGTGTCTGGGCAGGAAGAATATCGTCAGGGTGAAATGAATGGTGATGAGCTTCGTGTCAGAGCTCCTGTGGAGGGAGGGGCCTGGCCCACATGAAAAGGTCTCTGATCCTACCCCAGCCCCCAGCCCCTGTTCTCCAGGATGACACTGTGGGAATTCCATCAGGAGGGGTGTGATAGGGCTGGTCTTCCTGGCTCGATTCACAACACTGGCTGGGGACTGGGAACCCATGGGGAGCCACAGGTGGAAAGGGAGGAGCCTCAGTGAACCCAGCAGGAACAAACATAGGGTCTGACATGATGGAACTCACTTCCTGGAGGCCAAGAAAGACACTTGCGGGACAAAAGGGAAAGAGCGGTGGCTTGCTTAGTTCCATTCACTGACAACCCACAGGAGATGTCCAGTCCTTTTTTGATTTATTATTTTATTTTATTATATTTTATTTTATTTTATTTTATTTTCACATGGAGTTTTGCTCCTATTGGCCAGGCTGGAGTGCAATGGCACGATCTTGACTCACTGCAACCTCCACCTCTCAGGTTCAAGCGATTCTCCTGCCTCAGCCTCCTGCATAGCTGGGATTACAGGCGACTGCCACCACAGCCAGGTAATGTTTGTATTTTTAGTAGAGATGAGGTTTTGCCATCTTGGCCAGGCTGGTCTCAAACTCCTGATCTCATGTGATCCGCCTGTATCAGACTGCCAAAGTGTTGGGATTACAGGCGTGAGCCACCACACCCAGCCTTTTGTATTTTTAGTAGAGATGGGGTTTCACCATGTTGGTCAGGCTGGTCTTAAACTCCTGACCTCAGGTGATCCATCCACCTCGGCCACCCAAAGTGCTGGGAGTACAGATGTTAGCCACCGTACCCAGCGAGAGTTTCAGTGCTCTATCGGATTCCCTGCCTACTCCATGTTGCATGTAATGTTCCACCTCAGGGATGTTTCTCTCCTTTCTGTCTCCTTCCTCTTCTCCTTCTCCTTTTTTCTTTCTAATTTTTATTTTTTTGAGACAGAGCCTTGCTCTGTTACCCAGGCTAGAGTACAGTGGCACGATCCCAGCTCACTGCAACCTCTGCCTCCTGGGTTCAAGAGATTCTCCTGACTCAGCCTCTCAAGTAGCTGGGATTACAGGCACCCGCCATCACACCCAGCTAGTTTTTGTATTTTTAGTAGAGACGAGGTTTCACCATGTTGGCCAGACTGGTCTTGAACTCCTGCCCTCAGGTAATCCACCCGCCTGTGGCCCCCCAAAGTGCTGGGATTACAGGCGTGAGTCACCACTCCCAGCCCTGAATGATCTTTCCTCTTTAGTGTGTTCTCACAACCACCTCTCACTGAGCTTTCTTGTTTTTTGTTTTTGTTTTTGTTTTTGTTTTTGTTTTTGGCAGAGTCTGGCTTTGTTGCCTATGCTGGAGTGCAGTGGTGCAATCTCAGCTCACTGCAACCTCCGTCTCCTGGGTTCAAGCGATTCTCCCACCTCAGCCTCCTGAGTAGCTGGGATTACAGGCACCCACCACCACACCCAGCTAATTTTTGCATTTTTAGTAGACACAGGGTTTCACCATGTTGGTCAGGCTGGTCTCGAACTCCTGACCTTGTGATCTGCCAGCCTCAGCCTCCCAAAGTGCTGGAATTACAGGCATGAGCCACCACTCCCAGCCCTGGATTATCTTTCCTCTTTAGTGTGTTCTCACAACTACCTCTCACTGCTGGGTTTTCTCTCTTTCTTTTTTTTTTTTTTTTTTTTTTTTTTTGAGACAGTCCGGCTTTGTTGCCCAGGCTGGAGTGCAGTGGCGCGATCTCGGCTCACTGCAAGCTCCACCTCCCAGGTTCAAGCGATTCTCCCACCTCAGCCTCCCTAGTAGCTGGGATTACAGGCGCATGCCAGCACACCCAGCTAGTTTTTGTATTTTTAGTAGAGACAGGGGTTTCACCATGTTGGTCAGGCTGGTCTTGAACTCCTGACCTTGTGATCTTCCTGCCTCGGCCTCCCAAAGTGCTGGGATTACAGGTGTAAGCCACTGCACCCAGCCAGCTTTCTCATTCTTATCCCTTAGTTCTCTGCCAGGGAATAAGATAGAAACCATTCCCTCAACCACATTCTAGTCATGGTCCCTATTCTCATGTTTCCACTTCTCTCTCTTTGGTAATAAATCAATTAATTGAGAAACAAGTAGCTAAATGTTCATCTTCTGCTAGTCTGCATCCCCTTATTTTCCCAGAGCCTCCCCTAATGAAACTGACTTTATTTACTGAACGCAGGAAATGGGTCTCTCCAGATCAGGATGACTTTCTGCTGGGAAATATTTGTCTTTGCATCAGTGGGGAAAAAGAAAGCCGATGTCATGAGTGGAGGCTCTGAGAAAATAAGGGCTGTGTTTTCAGTTTAGACCCAGCTAAGTTGGGAGCTGACATAGATATGATGTTGGGTCCACCCTCCACGGGCAGGTTTTCAGACAAAGGATCCCTGGCAATCAGGGGACACCTCAGGTCTGGGCTGAGATGTGTGCAGAGGGCCTGGGTCCTCCTGAGCCCCTGCACTGGGGGGGGAATAAGAGACAGGCCCAGCAAGGGGCTGTCCACTTCCTGTGGGTTCACAGCTGTGGGGACCCAGGCAGGCGGCAGCAGGCTCTGACTTAACCACATCCGTGCATCTGTCTGTCATGGAGGGCCATGTGGTCACCTGTCCCACAGCTGGAGCACGCAGAGCAGGCATCATGGTGTCCATCCTCACTGTTCTTCTGTGCCTCAGTCAGTGGTGGAGAGACGAGGGACAGGAGGGGCACTGGGCTGAGGTGGGGAGGGTCCCACAGCAGCCTTGTTCACCAGAGAGCCTCAGGGCTCCAGTGGCTACTGGTGCTCCAACAGGAAGGGAAGCAGCCACACCTCTGTGTTCCAAATCCCCCACAGGAAACTCTTCTCCATGGCTGAGTCTGGGCCAGAAAGCCCAAGCACTTGCAGGTGAGTCTCTGCTAACCTCCCATGCCTGACCTCACACTCAGCACCTGGACTCTCATCTCAGGGGCTTCTGAACTGAGGGTGAGAAAATCAAGAGGGTCTGTGACCTGAGCTGGGAATGAGGAGCGGGGGAGGTCTGTGGACCCCAGCCTGTGGTTTCTTCCAGGGACCCTCCCCAAACCCAGCCTCTGGGCTGAGCCAGGCTCTGTGATTACCTGGGAGAGCCCCATGACCCTCTGGTGCCAGGGGACCCTGGATACCCAGGGTTACTATCTCACCAAGGAAGGAAACCCCATGACCTGGTACCAACAGAGCCCACCAGAGCCCAGGAACAAGACCAACTTCTTCATCCCATCCATGAGAGAGCACCATGCAGGGAGATACCACTGTCACTATCTCAGCCCTGCAGGCTGGTCAGAGCGCAGCGAGCCCCTGGAGCTGGTGGTGACAGGTAAGAGGACACTCAGGGGTCCCAGCCCCAGGCTCTGCCTGCAGGAAGGGGGTCAGCTCTCAAGGGCATCTCCGTTCTAATAACTCAGCCCTGGGGGATGATGTGGGACGCGTGAGCCCCATTTAAGACAGTGTCTCCTTCTCTCCTAGGAGCCCACAGAAAACCCACTCTCTCAGCCCTGCCGAGCCCTGTGGTGACCTCAGGAGAGAACGTGACCATCCAGTGTAGCTCAAGGGTGGGATTTCACAGGTTCATTTTGATTGAGGAAGGAGAAAACAAGCTCTCCTGGATGCTGGACTCACAGGAACTCTCCAAGGGGCTGTCCCTTGTCCCTGGCCCTGTTCCCTGTGGGCCGTGTGGCTGCCAGTCACCGGTGGATGTTCAGATGCTATGGGCATTACACGAACTTCCCCTGGGTGTGGTCGGAACCCAGTGATACCATGGAGATCCTGGTCTTAGGTATGGATGTCTTCCTCCTTGCCCTATTTATTTTTGAGAACTTACTCTCACGGAGCCCCATGTAGGAGGGTGGAACAAGGGAAGTTTGGGACTCCTGAGCCCAGAGACACTGAGTGTGAGAGACAGTGAGACCTGCAGGGCCAGGAGGGGAGAAGGAAGGGGTGTGGGAGGAACCAGCCCTCCTAGTCCCGACTCTTCTTTCCCTCCAGGCGTGTCTAGGAAGCCCTCCCTCCTGACCCTGCAGGGCCCTGTCGTGGCCCCTGGGGAGAATCTGACCCTCCAGTGTGGCTCTGATGTCGGCTATGACAAATTCACTCTGTACAAGGAGGGGGGACATGACCTCGTCCAGGGCTCTGGCCGGCAGCCCCAGGCTGGGCTCTCCCAGGCCAACTTCACCCTGGGCCCTGTGAGGGTCTCCCACGGGGGCCAGTACAGATGCTACGGTGCACACAACCTCTCCTCCGAGTGGTCGGCCCCCAGTGACCCCCTGAGCATCCTGATCGCAGGTGAGGAGCCCAGCAGGTTCAGTCAGGGACCCAGGCTCCGCACAGGCCCTGCTGGGGGAGCCCAGGTGGTGATGGCCGGGATGAGGGGTGGGGGTCCTAAGGGACGGAGAGACAGACAGAGACAGGGGATGGGCGGGGAGGGGGAGACTCAGAGAAAACAGAGACAGAGACACTGAGGGTCCCAGGGAGAGGCCTGGGGAGGTGTCAGCTCAGAACGAGGTGGGGCAGCCCCTCACCCATCCTTCTTCTCTCCAGGACAGATCCGTGGCAGACCCTCCCTCTCGGTGCAGCCGGGCCCCACGGTGGCCTCAGGAGAGAACGTGACCCTGCTGTGTCAGTCACGGGAGCAGTTGGACACTTTCCTTCTGACCAAGGAGGGGGCAGCCCATCACCCACTGCGTCTGAGATCAGAGCACCAAGCTCAGCAGCACCAGGCTGAATTCCCCATGAGTCCTGTGACCTCAGCCCACGCGGGGACCTACAGGTGCTACAGCTCACGCAGATTCTTCCCCTACCTGCTGTCTCACCCCAGTGACCCCCTGGAGCTCGTGGTCTCAGGTGAGGCCGCTGACCCTGTCCTCTCTGAGCTCAAACCTCAGCTCAGGCCCTGCCCCCAGGAGAGCTCAGGACGCTAAGGAAAGAGGGGAGTAAAGGGGGAGGGTCGGCAGGGGAGGGCCCAGCCCATGAGAGGGTGGAAATAGTCAGGGACCTCCTAATCCTGGGCTCCCACCCCAGAGACCTCAGATGGGGCTAAAGGCCAGGGAGGGCTGAAATGAGATATGGAGAAACCTTGGAGGAATCATGCTTAGGCTGAGGGTAGAAGATGGAGGCCCCACCCACTCCCCACCTGGGCTCCCCTGGCGGCCCCAAAATACTCAGTGCATACCTGAGACGAAGGGGAGATCATGCACCTGCTCACTGCAGCAATGCAGGCAAATTATTCAACAGCAAACCTCGTGTGCAATTCCTTTCTGTCCTTTATTTTTTATGTCCACATATCTAGTTTCTCTTTCTGTTTCTGAAGATTTCAAAGCAATGCTGGCATTTATAATTTACACATTTAATTTGTTAGGTAGCGTTATGATGTAAAATAACTGTGCTCTGATTTTCTTTGGGATTAAATTAAATATGTGCATTCATGATGGAGAATAACTTCTCATTAATAATGTCTTTGTATCCAATACATTTAAAATTAAACTTTATACAGTTAGCAGATGCTTGAAGTTGTATTCATAAAAATTGTGGACATTGTGAATTTTAAGCATTGTTTTACTACTTGAATAATTTGAAAGTCTTTGATTCCTTTCTATTTTCTAAAATTAGTTACGTATGGATGAGAAAGCTATTGGTTTGGGTATGCTAATTTTAGTTCCTATTAACTTACCACAGACACACTCCCTTTCAATCCTTTCCGAAATGATCTCTTCTGATTTATTGATAATAATTACATTAACCACAAGAAAATGGAGGACAAACTTGTTTGTTTCTAAATTATATAATACTCTTCTCACTTCAAATATATATGTATGTGTTTATATATACTCACACACTATTATATATCTTATAATATATATTATGTATTATATATTTATATATACACTATTATATATCTTATATATTATGTATTATATATTTATATATACCCACACATTATTATATCTTATAATATATATTATGTATTATATATTTATATATACCCACACATTATTATATCTTATAATATATATTATGTATTATATATTTATATATGCACTATTATATATCTTATATATTATGTATTATATATTTATATTACCCACACATTATTATATCTTATAATATATATTATGTATTATATATTTATATATACACACACTATTATATATCTTATTATATATTATGTATTATATATTTATATATACTATTATATATCTTATAATATATAATGTATTATATATTTATATATACACACACTATTATATATCTTATATATTATGTATTATATATTTATATATACATACTATTATATATCTTATAATATATTATGTATTATATATTTATATATATACACTATTATATATCTTATTATATATTATATATTTATATATGCACACACTATTACATATCTTATTATATATTTATATGTATACACACACTATTATATATCTTATTATATATTATGTACTATATATTTATATATACTATTATATATCTTATAATATATAATGTATTATATATTTATATATACACACACTATTATATATCTTATATATTATGTATTATATATTTATATATACATACTATTATATATCTTATAATATATTATGTATTATATATTTATATATATACACTATTATATATCTTATTATATATTATATATTTATATATGCACACACTATTACATATCTTATTATATATTTATATGTATACACACACTATTATATATCTTATTATATATTATGTACTATATATTTATATATACTATTATATATCTTATAATATATAATGTATTATATATTTATATATACACACACTATTATATATCTTATATATTATGTATTATATATTTATATATACATACTATTATATATCTTATAATATATTATGTATTATATATTTATATATACACACTATTATATATCTTATTATATATTATATATTTATATATGCACACACTATTACATATCTTATTATATATTTATATGTATACACACACTATTATATATCTTATATATTATATATTTATATATACTCACACTATATCTTATAATACATATTATGCATACACATATGCATAATACATATTATCTATACACATATGCATAATACATATTATGTATACACATATGCATAACACATATTATGTATACACACATATTTACACCTATGCATATATGTATGTATGTATGCGAATGTACCTCTGCCACGGCAGGGAAAGGTTCTATCACACAACTACAGAGCAGTTAGGAGAAGTGTAGACACAAAGGAATGCAGCAACTGAGGGACATGTTGGCTTAAGTCTCTTCAACTCCTCACACACCTCCCCCTTTTTTGGTTGATTCTCAGGAGCAGCTGAGACCCTCAGCCCATCGCAAAACAAGACAGACTCCAAGACTGGTGTGTAAGGAGATGCTCTCGGTTATGGGGCTGGCACAGAGGGTCAGGTCCTGTGAAGGGGAGGTGGGTGCCCTGGGTGGACATCCAGGGGTCCCGGGTGATGTTGATCTGCCCTGACCTCTGAGACCTCTTGGTCCACCATCCCCAGCCTCACACCCCCAGGATTACACAGTGGAGAATCTCATCCGCGTGGCTGTGGCTGGCTTGGTCCTGGTGGTCCTCGGGATTCTGCTGCTTTAGGACTGGCACAGCTAGAGAAGTCCCCAAGATGCAGCAAGGAGGTAAATACATGAGAGAACAATGCACCCTTCAGAGTGCCAGAGCCTTGGCAATGAATCTGATAGTCCTAGGAGGTTCTGGAAGAAAGTCTGGACCATCATTCGGGAAACCGTCTACTGAGAAAGTCGAGAAGGGGAGGCTTGGGTCAGGTTCAGGAAGATGTCTGGGTGCCTGTAGAGAACGCTTCCTCCATTAAACTTCCATTAAATGGCAGTGCTTTCAGTCCTGCTGTTGTGGATCCTCCGTGTCTGCCCCTCCCTTCCTTTCGCTCTCTGTGATGTGAAGGCACGTCCCCCATGGTGGGTTTGCATCCACACCCCTGCGATCACGTGCTCTGGTCCACTGTCATGTAATACATTTGTCTTTGTTTCCAACTACCGCATTCTCTAAAGTGAACTATTGATTCTCCATCTTTTCAGTTCTGAGCATAGATCTGGATTAAATAACTGGAATAGGTGGGCAGATTTGTATTTGGGACTTTGAAACATGAGTCTGAGGCCAGGCACAGTGGCTCACACCTGTAATCCCAGCACTTTGGGAGGCTGAGGTGGGCGGATCACTTGAGGTCAGAAGTTCGAGACCAACCTGGCCAACATGGTGAAACCCTGTCTCTACTAAAAGATACAAAAATTAGCTGGGTGTGGCAGTGAGCACCTGTAATCCCAGCTGCTCAGGAAGCTGAGGCGGGAGAATAGCTTGAACCCGGGAGGCGGAGGTTGCAGTGAGCCAAGATCTTGCCACTGCACTCCAGCCTGGGCAACAGAGCAAGACTCCATCTCCAAAAAAAAAAAAAAAAAGGGAAATATGAGTCTGAAATGATGCCCTAGCACCCTCTCTGGACCCTGAATTCCCTTCACTCTTCATCGGATGATACCTGTGTACTTTGTCCAGAAATATCATCTCTCAGAATGAGCACACTAACGCTCGAAGGCTCAGCCTCATGGTATTCTGTTAAACTGGCTCTCTGAAAAAATTATTTTCTTAAGAAAACTCTGAACATATAAAGCCCCAGATTTATGGTATTTGCTGATTAGTGTGGTATAAATACGTCCTTTATGGCCAACTTCAGGGTGCCCATATGACGCCATTGAATGCACAGTTGGGAAGTAGTCAAAAGAATTGTCGTTCACACGAGTATGAACCAGTTGTAAAGTTTATTTAAAGGTTATAATAATTTCTGCTTCATTCTTATGGTGTAGTTTCAGTAAAATTGTAATGTCAAAAATCATAGCACAATGGAGGGAAAAGAAAAAAATAGGCCGGGTGTGGTGGCTCATGCCTGTAATCCCAACACTTTGGGAGGCCGAGGCAGGAGGATCACCTGAGGTCAGGAGTTCGAGACCAGCCTGGCCAACATGGTGAAACGCTGTCTCTACTAAAAATACAAAAATTAGCCAGACATGGTGGCGCCTGCCTGTAATCCCAGCTACTTGGGAGGCCAAGGCACGAGAATCGCATGAACCCAGGAGGCGGAGGTTGCAGTGAGCCGAGATCACTACAGCCTGGGTGATAGAGCAAGACTCAGTCTCAAGAAAAGAAAAAAGTAGCAAAATCATTTTTTGGAAAGAATATTGAACATGTAGAATTTTAGTACATTAATAGTAAGAGTACAAATTGCTTTAATCAATTAAGGAAGTGTATTGGAATTATCTAGTTAAAAAGAGGAGGCACATGGCTGTGACCCTTCTTAATTATGTACTTAATTATGTACCCTAGAGATAAATGTCTACTTATGTGTCATGATACACTCACAACTGTTATAGGAATGCTGTTCCTATTAGCCAAAGCTATAAAATACCAAAGTCCACCTACGAAAAAAATAAACATAGTGTGGTAAATAGACTCAGTGGAATATTACAAGGTAGTAAAATGCATAAATGAAAATAACAAACAGCACCATACTTCAATTTTCAAGCATAAAGTCAAGTAAATGAAGTATTATTTGAAAATGTGTGCATGGTTATTTCATTACATAAAGGTCAAAAGGAGGGTACATTTATTATTTAGGAAAACACACCTAAGATATCTTTGTAAAATCTGTAAAATCAATAGTACTGTTTCCCCTCTTTCATTCCTTATCTTGAAAATGCTTGTCTCTTTTTCTGCCATGGCTTTCTACCTTGCTTGATATATTACAATTTTGTAACCTGCTTATTTCATCATATGTCATAAGTTCACATGTATATCCCATGAATTATTGAGGGTCTTATTCATTTCAAGTGGCATTTAGGTTTTTAAAAATATCTTTTGGCGACCAGGTGCAGTGGCTCATGCCTGTAATCCCAGCACTTTGGGAAGCCAAGGCAGGTGGATCACGAGTTCAAGAGACAGAGATCATCCTGGCGAACATGGTGAAACCCCGTCTCTACTAAAAATACAAAAAAAAAAAAAAAAATAGCTGGGCATGGTAGAGGGTGCCTGTAGTCCCAGCTTCTCAGGAGGCTGAGGCGGGAGAATGGCATGAACCCGAGAGACGGAGGTTGCAGTGAGCCGAGATCGTGCCACTGCACTCCAGCCTGGCAACAGAGTGAGACTCTGTCTCAAAAAAAAAAAAAAAAGAAAGAAAGAAAGGAAGAAAAAAAAATCTTCTGGCATTAACTATTAAGAAATTGCACTATAAAAAGAGAATATAATGCATAAGACGGCAATTTGAAAAGATTCAGATATAATTTTTTCTTATCTAGTAAATACTTAGTAATTTGTCTAATGCATGCCTTAAATACATACCACTTTATGCAGAGGTTGCCATGAGCCGAGATCGCGCCGTTGCACTCTAGCCTGGGTGGCAGAGCAAGACTCCATCTCAAAAAAAAAAAAGAAAATCTCACAGAAGGAGACCCAGAGCTTCCAGCCTCGCCCAGAGTCTTGGCTCACTCCCTGTGTGTGTGGACCCTAGGGAGCCTCTTCTGTTCCCCACAGAGGTGGAAACTTCCTCCTTAATAACCCCTTGATGGTCCCAGGCACTGGTGACCACTGAGCTTTGCTCTCTCTTTTTTCTTATGGTTCCCTGTCTACTTCCAGGGCTATCACTTTACTTTTTGTGCATTAGACCATGAATAATGTTTTAGAAACATTCTATCAAATTTCTCAGTGCTAGGAACAACTGAGGTTTTTGATTGGGTGCCTCAAATGTCTACCCTTACTGTGGAGTCCGACAACAGGATTCTAACAAGTCCCAACCCCTTCATGCCTTAACCTGGTCTGGAAATAAATTATGTTTAAGCCATCCCATACCCCAGCCACATCAAGCCCCACAACCACTCTGAGAAGTGAGATTTATAGCAAAATGCTCCAAACAAGGTAACTAAGGTTCAGACAAGGGATGTTAATGTGTCCATTTACATAAACAAAAAATGGTAGATGATCAGCTTTCCCTTTGAAATCAGAGTACTAATCTGACTCATTGTTCCCTGAATTTTAGAGGCAGGACCTCAGGAGGAGCTAAGAATCCTACCCCAGGAAAATTACCAATATCAGAAAGGAAACAATGACATCAGTACAGATCCTACAGAATTCAAAAGATTCTAAGTGGACATTATGAAGACATTATTCAGCTTAGATGAAGTGGTCACATATCACAAGAAAACAAACTGTCTAAAACAATCTCTGAAATACCTAGACATTCCCTGAATCATTGAGTTATTAAATAAAATACATTTTAAAATTAAACTCTTTTCAGGAAATAAACTTCAATGTCCCCTAGTGCACTCTCCAAAACATGTAGATGGGAATAAATACTGTTCTGAAAGACATTTCCCTGGAATTACAACCATTCAATATATTTTAAAAGGCAATCATAAAAATATAAAAAGGATATATCAGGAGAAGAAATGTAAATGGCCTAAATTCCCCACATAAAAGGCATAGAGTGGCAACGTGGATAAAAAGCCAAGAGCCAACTGCCTGCTGTCTTCAAGAGACCCATCTCACATGTAATGACACCCACAGGCTCAAAGTAAAAGGATGAAGAAATATTTACTAGGCAACCAGGAAACAAAAAAAAGGAAGGCATTCCTATTCTTATATCACATGAAACACACTTTAAATCAACAGCAATCAGGAAGGACAAAGAAGGGCATTACAAAATGATAAAGGGTTCAATTTGACAGAAGACTTAACTATTCTAAATATATATGCACCCAAATTTGGAGCACCCCGATTCATAAAACAAGTTATTCTTCACCTATGAAAAGAGTTAGACAGCCACACAATAATAGTAAGGGACTTCAGTATCCCACTAACAACGTCAGATGAATCACTAAAACAGAAAACTAACAAAGAAATTCTGGTCTTAAAGACAACACTTGACCAATTGGACCTCATAGACATCTACAGAGTACTCCACCCAACAACTGCAGAATATAGATTCTTCTTATCTGCACACACAAAAAACATATCATATTCTAAGACTGGCCACAAAGCAAGTCTCAATAAATTCAAAGAATCAAAATCATAACAAGGCACACAATAAAAATAGAAAAAAATACCAAGATGATCTCTCAAAACTACAGAAAAACATGGAAATTTAACAACTTGTTTCTGAATGAATATTAAGAGCCATCTATGACAAATCCACAGCCAACATCATATTGAATGGTCAAAAGCTGGAACTGTACCCCTTGAGAACTCTTGGGTGAACAATGAAATTAAAGCAGAAATCACAAAACATTATTTAAAATTAATAAAAATAGAAACAAACTTACCAAAACCTTTGGGATGCAGTTAAAGCAGTGATAAGAGGAAAATTTATAGCAATACATGCCTCATCAGAAGTTTAGAAAGATCTCAAATTAGTGACTTAACACTGCATCTAGAGGAACTATTAAAAAAAAGGAACAGTCCAAACCCAAGGCCAGCAAAAGATGAGAAATAACTAAAGTCAGAGAGAACTGAATAAATTGAGACCAAAAAGTCCATACAAGAGATAAATAAAACCAAGAGTTTTTCTTTGAAAAAAAATAAACAAAATTCATAGACTGTTAGCTAGATTAACAAAGAAAAAGAGAAAAGATCCAAATAAACACAAATAGAACTGACAAAACAATGTTACGAACAATCCCACAGAAATAGAAAAGATCGTCAAAGACTATTATGAACACCTCTATACAAACAAGCTAGAAAACCTAGAAGAAATGGATAAATTCCTGGTAACACAAAATTTATCATATTTCAACCAGGAAGAAAGTGAAAACCTGAACAGACCAATAACAAGTTCAGAAATTTAATCAGTAATAAAAACCCTACTAACTAAAAATAGCCCAGGACCAGATGGATTCACAGCCAAAATCCAACAGCCATACAAAGAAGAACTGATACCGATCTTACTGAAACTTTTGGAAAAAATCAAGGAGTGGGGGCTTCTTCCTAACTCATTCTATGAAGCCATCATCACCATGATACCAACATCTGTCAGAGACATAATGAAAAAAAGAAAACTACAACTAAATATCCTTAATGAACATAGACATAAAATCCTCAACAAAATGCTAGCAAATTGAATCTGTCAGTGCATCAAAAGTTAATTCACATGATCAAGTAAGCTTTATTTTTGGGATGCAAGGTTGGTTCAACCTACAAAGTCAACGAATGTGATTCACCTCATAAACATAATTAAAAACAAAAACTATATGATCATCTCAATAGATGCAGAAAAAGCTTTCTGTAAAATCCAACATCCCTTCATGATAAAAACTGTCAATAGGCATCAAAGGAACATACCTCAAAATATTAAGAGCCATCTATGACAAACCCACAGCCAACATCATATTGATGGGCAAAAGCTGGAACCATACCCCTTGAGAACCGAAACAAGACCAGGATGACCACTCCCGCCATTTTAATTCAACATGGTACTGGAAGTCCTAGCCAAAGCAATCAGGCAAGAGAAGGAAATAAAAGGCATTAAAATTGGAAAAGAAGTAGTGATACTGTCTCTCTTTGCTGATGAAATAATTTTATACATAGAAAACCCTAAAGACTCTGTCAGAAGGCTCCTGAAACTGATAAACAAATTCAATAAAGTTTCGGGATTAAAAAAATGTACACAAATTAGTAACATTTCTATGCACCACTAACATTCTAGCTGAGAACTAAATCAAGAACACAATTCCATTTACACTAGCCACAAAGAAAATAAAATACCTAGGAATCCATCTAACCAAGAAGGTGAAAATTCTCTACAAGGAGAACTACAAAACACTTCTGAAAGAAATAAGAAATGATACAAACAAATGGAAGAATATTCCATGCTCATGAATTAGGAGAACAAATAGTTAAAATCGCCATACTTCCAAAAACAAATTGCAGACTCAATGCTATCCATTTCAAAATGCAATGTCATTTTTCACGAAATTATAAAAATTTATTCTAAAATGTATTTGGCACCAAAAAAAGAGCCTGAATACACATAGGAATCCTAAGCACAAAGAACAAAGCCCAGGCATCACATTACCCAACTTCAAACTATACTACAATGCTATAGTAACCCAAACAGCATGATACTACTACAAAAACAGACACATAGACCAATGAGACAGAATAGAGAACCCAGAAATGAGGCTACATACCTACAATCATCTTTGAAAAAATTGACAAAAACAAGCAATGTGGAAAGTACCCTTTCTTCAATAAATAGTTCTGGGATAACTGACTACTCATATGCAAAATAATAGAACTGGACCCCTAACTCTCACTATATACAAAAATTAACCCAAGATAGTTTAAAGATTTAAATGTAAAACCTCAAAATATTAAAATTCTAGAAGAAAACCTAGGAAATATCCTTCTCAAGATAGACTTTGGCAAAGAATTTATGGCTAACTCCCCAAAACCAATTGTGACAAAGACAGAAATTGGGACCTAACTCAACTGAAGAGCTTCTGCACAGCAAACGAAAGTATCAACAGAGTAAACAGATAACCTACAGACTGGGAGAAAATATTTGCAAACTATGCATCTGACAAAGTTCTAATATCCAGAATCTATAAGGAATGTAAACAAATCAACAAGCAGAAAACCAAAAAACCTCAATTAAGTATGACATGAACAGACACTTCTCAAAAGAAGATGTACACATGGCCAAAAAACATATGAACAAATGCTTATTATCAGTAATCATCAGAGAAATGCAAATTAAAACCACAGTGAGATACCATCTCACAACAATCAGAGAAGCAGAAGCAATTACTAAAAAGTTTTTTGTTTTTTTTAATAACAGATGCTGACAAGATTGTGGAGAAAAGGGAACACTTATACACTCTTGGTGGGAATGTTAACTAGTTCAGCCAATGTGATAAGCAGTTTGGAGACTTCTCAAATAACTTAAAATAGAACTACTATTCAATCAAGCAATCCCACTACTGGGTATATACCAAAAGGAAGGTAATTAACTATGTCAAAAAGACACATGCACTAGTATATTCATTGCTGTGCAATTCAGAATAGCAAAGATTTGCAGTCAACCTAAGTGCTCACCAACAGTGGATTAGTTAAAGAAAATGTGCTACATATACACATGGAACATTACATGGCCATAAAAAATAATGAAATCATGTCCTTTGCAGCAACATGAATGTAGCAGGAGGTCAATCTCCTAAGTGAACTAACCCAGGAACAGAAAACCAAATACCACATGTTATCACTTATAACTGAGAACCAAACATTGAATACACATGAACATAAAGATGGAAACAACAGATACCGAGGACTACAGATGGGGGGAGGAGTAGGGAGGTATAGGCTGAAGAAACACCTGTTGGATTCTATGCTCATTGCCTGGGTGATGGCATTGTTGGAACCACAAACCTCAGAGTCACACAATATGCCTATGTAACAAACCTGCATGCATACCTTTAATCTACAGTAAAGGTTGAAGTTATTTAAAAATAGGAAGAAGAATTACCCTATACCTAAAGCTAAGATTTTTCCCTTTGAATATTCGTTTCTTCATCACTGTAGATAAGCAGGGAAAGAAAAATTATTATACTATACTAGCCTTTTATGTGACCATGAGGATTTGGGGTAGGTAGGTGGACAGCTTAGATAATTCACCAGGATATTGATACAGGCTCCATGGCTGGAAATAACCAAGGATGAGTGCTGTGTTTTGAGTGGTCTCCCCCAGAAACGTTTGTTGAAATCCTAACCCCTGGTATGTATGAATGTGAATTCATATTATATAAAAAGGAATAAATAGCCTGAGCACAGTGGCTCACACCTGTAATCCCAGCACTTTGGGAGGCCAAAGCAGGTGGATCATTTGAGGTCAGGAGTTCTGGCCAATATGGCAAAACTTCATCTCTACAAAAAAAAAATACAAAAAAAAAAATTGGCTGGGTATGGTGGCGCATGCCTGTAGTCCCAGCTACTCAGGAGGCTGAGGCAGGAATTGCTGAAACCTGGAAGGCAGAGGTTGCAGTGAGCCAAGATCATGCCACTGCACTCCAGCCTGGGTGAGACGGCAAGATATTCTGTCAAAAATAAATAAATAAAAAACAGAAGAAGAAATACAAGAATGACAGCAAACTTTGTATTCAAAACTATGAAAGTAAGAAATAGGTGGACCAACATTTTTAAAGTGCTACAAGAAAATATTTCAAACTAGAATCTTTCAACCTGAAAAGGAAAACATTTTCCTGCAATAAAGGTGCCATTAAAAATGTCTCACAATTTATTACATGAAGCATTGTTCTACAATAAATGTTAAGCTCTTGAAGCAAAGATTAATGATACCATTTAGTAACTTGAAATTCAAAAAAGTGGAAGTATCCCAAGAGGCAAATACGTGTGCAATTATTAAATGTTTCATATCAACACCCAACCTTATGCTGTCTACATAAGCTGCACTTCAAATACTAATCCACAAGATGTAAATATTGAAAGAATGACATTACATTGTCATGATAATGCCCAGTGCAAAATATGCTTCTAGTCAGTTGTATACATAGAATAGGTAAATGTTTGTAATAAAAAGTATTCCTCAATAGAAGTTTCTTAACTCAAAGAATGAAATATTTCACCATGCACATACAAAGAAGAGATATATGGAGATATGAAGAGGAGTACTTCATAATGACAAAGAGGCAAATTCATAAATAAGACATAATAATCCTAAATGCCTACACACCTAAAGCTGGAACCTCAAAACACATTAAATTAAAGGCATAATTCAAAACATAATCAATCACATCCAAATTGCAGCTAGAGATAGCAACATTCACCTCACTTCCAGAACAAGTACACAGAAAATTATTAAGCATATGAAAGACTTGAAAAACATTTGTGTAGGCGGCGGGTGCATAAGGTTGGGTGTTGATATGAAACATTTAATAATTTCAATAATCCTAGCACTTTGGGAGGCCAAAATGGGAGGATCACTTGAGGCCAGGAGTTTGAGACCAGCCTGGGCACCATAGTGAGACCCCGTCTCTATTTTTTTTAAATAAAGAAAAACATTTGAATGATTTTTTTCTTAACTGACATTTAGAAAACATCCACCTCAAATCTTCCTAATCCACAAACTTGTCTAGCACCCCTGGAACATTCACCAAAATAAATTTTTAAATGCTGAATCATAGGTAATATGATAGATGAAACAGTTGAATTAAATTATAAATGTACAACAAGGAAATGCTGGGGAAATTATCAAATATTTTAAAATTAATAAACACACATAGCAATAAACAATGAGTGGAAGAAAAACATTTCAAAGAAAGGTGGAAAATATTTTGTATCAATTAAAAATGAAAACACATCTCGGCAAATGACTGGGGATACAGATAGAACAGTGTTAAAGGAAAATAAGCCTCAAATGTCTGTGTTAGAAAAGAAGGAAGAGCTGAGTAAATAGGTAACTTTCGCTTGCAGAAATACTACACATCAGCAAATTAATTCCAAAGTAACGTCGAGGAAAAACATAAAATGGCAAGCAAATATATACGTGCATATGTACGTATATTCATAAATGACAAACAGGACAGAAAAATCAGTGACATCAATTTTGTTCCTTAGAAGAAACAGGAAAATTGACCCCAAAAAACTTTCCAGGCCACATTTGGTCATGATGGAAATATTTTGGCACTTCCTGGTTAAGCTCAACACCAACTTGCACCCAAAACCAATAATTTCATTCCTAGGTAAATATGTCTAATTAATTCAGCATATGTATGCAAGGGATCACACAGAAACACGATTATCAAGGCCCGAGTTATAAAAGAGAAAATCCGGAAACAACACAAATGTCCATGATAAAAAGAGTGGATAATTACATGTTGATAAAGTTATGTATGGACTATTAAACTGCAATCCAAAAGAATAAAATAGAACTATAAAATTCAATATGTATATGGTGTCATAGAAACACAAATGTGAGAAAAAGAAAGAAAAATACAAAATTTATATTTTTTAAAATTTGAAACAACTATATATGTGAGTGCTTAGGGTGTGTGTGTGTGTGTGTGTGTATAACCATATGTATATAAACGCACACATACGCACACATATAGAATGTCCCGGCCAGGCATGGTGGCTCACACCTGTAATCTCAGCACTTTGGGAGGCTGAAGTAGACAGATCACTTGAGGTTAGGAGTTCAAGACCAGCCTGGCCAACATGGAGAAACCTCCTCTCTACTAAAAGTACAAAAATTAGGTGGGCGTGATGGTGGGTGCCTGTAAATCCAGCTACTTAGGAGGCTGAGGCACGAGAATTGCGTGAACCTGGGAGGTGGAGGCTGCAATGAGCCGAGGTCTCACCACTGCATTCCAAACTGGGTGACGAAGTGAGATTGCGTCTCAAAAAAAAAAAAAGTTCTAAAAGTTGTGACTTGGGTGTGGCAGATTGTGACATACTGCCAGCTGCTAGAAATGCTGGGGCAGGAGGATTGCTTGAACTCTGAAGTCAAAGAACAGCCTGGGGAAAATAGCACATGAAGAAGAGTTTGAATCTCAGATAAAAACAACAAAAATACATCAAAAGTCTTTAATGTAAGCCAAGCATTCAGTCATCTCCTGTATGAGAGATTGGATCTGAGACGTGTTTTGAGTTGGTTATAGTGAAGGATGCAAGGTGTCAATTCTAGTTGGAACAATTTCCAGGAAGCCATGTTCCGCTCTTGACCAAACAGCCACTGGGCCTCATGCAAGGTAGAAATAGCCTGCATACGTCATCCTCCCATGATGTGGTCAGCATGTAAACTGCATGAGCCCCTCACAACATCCTGTGTGCTGCTGAACTGAGCTGGGGCGCAGCCGCCTGTCTGCACCGGCAGCACCATGTCGCTCATGGTCGTCAGCATGGCGTGTGTTGGTGAGTCCTGGAAGGGAATCGAGGGAGGGAGCGCTGGGGTGGAGATCTGGGCCTGGAGTGGAGATCTGGGCCTGGAGTGGAGATATGGGCCTGGAGTGGAGATATAGGCCTGGAGTGGAGATATGGGCCTGGGGTGGAGATATGGGCCTGGAGTGGAGATATGGGCCTGGAACTGTAGATATGGGCCTGAAGTAGAGATATGGGCCTGGAGTAGAGATATGGGCCTGGAACTGTAGATATGGGCCTGGAGTGGAGATATTGGCTTGGAGTGCAGATATGGACCTGGAATTGAGATACGGGCCTGGAGGTGGAGATATGGGCCTAGAGTGGAGATATGGGCCTGGAGGTGGAGATATGGGCCTGGAACTGTAGATATGGGCCTGGAGTAGAGATACGGGCCTGGAGTGGAGATGTTGGCTTGGAGTGCAGATATGGGCCTGGAATGGAGACACGGGCCTGGAGGTGGAGATACAGGCCTGGAGGTGGAGATATGGGCCTGGAGTGTAGATATGGGCCTGGAGTAGAGATATAGGACGGAGGTGGAGATATAGGCCTGGAGTGGAGATATGGGCCTGGAGTAGAGATATAGGACGGAGGTGGAGATATAGGCCTGGAGTGGAGATATGGGCCTAGAGGTGGAGATATGGGCCTGGAGTGGAGATATGGGCCTGGAGGTGATGTACAGATGGATCATCCATCATGATCTTTCTTTCCAGGGTTCTTCTTGCTGGAGGGGCCCTGGCCACATGTGGGTGAGTCCTTCCCCCAAACCTTAGGTTGTCATCTCCCCACATAAGATGATGCTCCTGAAACGGGAGGCAGGCGACACAGGGGGTTGACTGATGGGCTGACCATGGGAAGCCATGTGGGAATCTCTCATGAACTAGGAAAAGGAAGCCAGGGGAAGCTTCGCCACAGTTCTGTCCTAGCCCTCCCCGGCCTTTCTTTCCCTTGGCTGAGTCTGTGGGGACCCAGGGGGAGACTGAAGTGCTCAAAGGAGTGGTGTGCAGGGAGGAAGTGGTGTCACCGGCAGAGGAAGGGAGAGAAGCAGTGCAAGGAACAACAGGCCTCTGAGGACAAGAGCATAACTCACACCCTCCAGCGTTTCCATGACGGTAGGGGCTGCAATGTGGCTGCTGTCATTCTACCTAAGAGGTGGGGGAACCACAGTCATGACCCTGACATTCCAGATCTTCTAATAGGGGCTCAGTTGTTTATTATGGTTCATGCATTAGCTGATCATGCCCTCCATCCTGTGTCTACCTTGTGTTCTTTTATGTAAGTAATTTTGCAGTGTTAAAATCTAGTAAGAGTCGCTTCTTCAGCACCTGCTCAAAGTTCTCAGCTGACACTTGCTGTAGGGAGACGCCATGTCTATGCGGGATGGGTCCTTCCTGTAGCCCTGGGCACCCAGGTGTGGTAGGAGCCTTAGAAACGTGGAAATGGGAGAATCTTCTGAGCACAGGGAGGGAGGGGCGGCTCCACATCCTCCTCTCTAAGGTAGTGCCTCCTTCTCCCCCAGGTGGTCAGGACAAGCCCTTCCTCTCTGCCTGGCCCGGCACTGTGGTGTCTGAAGGACAACATGTGACTCTTCAGTGTCGCTCTCGTCTTGGGTTTAAAGAATTCAGTCTGTCCAAAGAAGACGGGATGCCTGTCCCTGAGCTCTACAACAGAATATTCCGGAACAGCTTTCTCATGGGCCCTGTGACCCCAGCACATGCAGGGACCTACAGATGTTGCAGTTCACACCCACACTCCCCCACTGGGTGGTCGGCACCCAGCAACCCTGTGGTGATCATGGTCACAGGTCAGAGGCTTTCTGTCTGGGCTTCTCACTGTCCCACCTCCTGAATCCCAGAGCTTCTGGTGGGGGTGTCCATCAGGGTCCAATCATCCAGGCCCTGGCTGTATTTGGGGTAAAGGGGGATTCAGTACAGAGAAATAGTTGCTGTGGTGGGAAGAATAATTGTCCCCAGTGATGGCTACATGGTAATCCATGAACCCTGTGACTATTTATGTCATAGGGCAGGGGACTGAAGGGGAAGATGGAGCTCAGGTTGTTGATGAGTTGACCTTGCGATGGGGAGACAGCCTGGACTGTCCTGCTGTGCTCAGAGTAATCACAAGGGTCCTCATGAGAGGAGGAGGAAGAGGAAAGTGGGGTTAGAGCAACGTCGTGGGAGGGAGACTCCATCAGCCACAGCGGGCTTTGAAGATGGGGGAAGGCCATGAGCCACAAAGGCAGTTGGCCTCTAAGGGCTGGAGAAGTCAAGGGAACTGATTCTTCCCTGAGTCTCCAGAGGAAACACAGCCCTGTAGATGCCTTGATTTTAGCCCAGAGAGAACTGGGTCCGATTTCTGTTCTCCAGAAGTGGAAGGGGTCATTGTATTCTCTCCTGCCCCATGTTTGTGACAATTTTCTCCAGCAGCAACAGGAAACCAACACAGGAACCCAGGTGAAGCACAAGTTAAGAAACCAAACAAGGAGAAGGTTGGCTACACTGATTTTAGCATGGGTGGGATACTGATGCTACCACCAGGCTCGATCCACATAGGGAGGGGTTGATGCTCCTGGAACCAGCACCAGGGGCCACCCTATGGAAGCTGGGGCCATGGAGAAGGCACAGACATGACAGGAGAGGCTCCCAATCCCCATCAGGAACAGGGACACTGATGCCTGCCTTACTGATGAGTTCGTACCTCCTGCCAGCCTTTCCAATCTGTCCAAAAGAGATTGATTCAGGCTGCTAAGAGCCTGGACATGCAGCCTGTCGTGGTTCCTCTTCCACCCCTACATAAACACAGGAAAGAGATTAGTGGGAAACAGATACAACAGCCTAAGAGGTGACACTGAGCACAGTGGGAAGGGAATCAGGGCTACTAGAGACAGAGAGACAGGGAAGAGGGAGGGAGACAGATGGAGGGACCTGCAACAGGGGTTATGGGCACAAAAGAACACGGAGACACAGAGAGGAAGGAGAGAGATAGACACCATGGAGGGGAAGCCTCACTTATTTCAGGTCCCATGAATGGGATGAGAAAGGGAGACGCCTTCTGAACTCACAACCTCTCTTCTTAGGAGTCCACAGAAAACCTTCCCTCCTGGCCCACCCAGGTCCCCTGGTGAAATCGGGAGAGACGGTCATCCTGCAATGTTGGTCAGATGTCAGTTTTGAGCGCTTCCTTCTGCACAGAGAGGGGATCACTGAGGACCCCTTGCGCCTCGTTGGACAGCTCCACGATGCGGGTTCCCAGGTCAACTATTCCATGGGTCCCATGACACCTGCCCTTGCAGGGACCTACAGATGCTTTGGTTCTGTCACTCACTTACCCTATGAGTTGTCAGCTCCCAGTGACCCTCTGGACATCGTGGTCGTAGGTGAGAGAATACAGACCTGCCTCTCACCCTTGCTGGGAGATGGAGTGAATGATCTAGGACTGGAAGCCCCAGGTGGTCATGAGGAAGATGAGTGTGGGGTTCCTATGGAGAGAAAGTGACTTGGTGAGGTCTGTACCAACAAAGGCAGAGAAACAGGAGACACAAGTACAGACCTCATGTCATAACATAGAAGCCAGACACAGGGGCCATACAAGGTGTTAGAAAAAGAGATAAAGAGGTAAAGAAGACACAGAGAGACAGATATATCCCAGAGAGAGGTGTCCTTCTATGCTGACTTTGTTCAGAGACCAGGCACAGGTTAGAAGGTTCCATTCTGTTTTACCTCTACAAAGTGTTCTCTCCCAGGAGAACCCAAAGAGACACATCTATCTGGCCTGAGTTGGGCCGTGTGGCCCCAGGCTGGTGGCACCTACAGATGCTGTGTTTATTCTTAAACCTCTGCCTTCCGTGCAGTGGAGCTGTCATCGTCCCAGGACACCATGGCCCCAGGTGAGGGAGCAGAACACCAACCCCTGTATGTTGTGAGTTCCTGGAGTCCCCATACTGGATTCTGAGGCTCATATTCAAATAGCACCACATGTTATAGGATTACTGAGAACAAAAGCCCACAGAGAGACACGGAGTGAAATCAGGGAAATCAAAAAGCAAAGACATGAACACACACACAGAATGAGCCAGAAGAAGGGAATTGAGAGACTCACAGACACATAAAGAGACAGAAAAAGAGGGCAGAGAAGTGGAGCGTATGATGGAAGGAAGCAGAGAAAAGCCCTAAAATCAGAGCCCTGAGGGAGGGGCACAAAGACAGGGAAAGATAAAGATGTGGGGATGGATTGCAGAGACTCCAAAAGGGAACTAGAGAGACTGAGAGGCAGAGAAAGACAAGGAGATGGAGAGAGACAGATGATAGATGGATAGATAGATATAGATAGATGAAAGATAAAAGGTATATGATAGATAATAGAGAGACAGGTGATAGACAAATAGATGATGAATGACTGATAGATGATATAGATAGACAAGTAGAAAGACAGACAGATGATATATAAATAGATATAGAGAGATAGAAAGACAGATAAACACATGATGATAGATGGATAGATGCATACATACATACATTGATTGATAGATGATAGATAACAGAGAGATAGGTCATAGATACACAGATGATGATAGATGATAGATACATACATAGATAAATGATAGATCGATCAATAGATAGTAGATAGAAATATGCAGAAAGTTATGAGCAAGACAGAAAGTGAGAGACTCAGAATTAAAGAAAGAGGAAGATCAAGTCAACCAGTCCAAGGAGGGTCAGAGAGAATAAAATGGTACAAAAAAAGAAAACATAGCTAGGGATGGAGAAGTGAGGTCAGAGACCTAGAGAGACAGAGAAGGTGGAAGGAGGAAATAGACATGAAGAGAGATGGGGGTGGAGGGTGAGAGAGAGAAAGAGAGCATTAAGTCATAGAGCAGGGGAGTGAGTTCTCAGCTCAGGTGTGAGGAGAGCTGTGACAAGGAAGAACCTCCCTGAGGAAACCACCTCTTCTTCTTCCAGGTCTATATGGGAAACCTTCTCTCTCAGCCCAGCCGGGCCCCACGGTTCAGGCAGGAGAGAATGTGACCTTGTCCTGCAGCTCCCGGAGCTTGTTTGACATTTACCATCTATCCAGGGAGGCAGAGGCCGGTGAACTTAGGCTCACTGCGGTGCTGAGGGTCAATGGAACATTCCAGGCCAACTTCCCTCTGGGCCCTGTGACCCACGGAGGGACCTACAGATGCTTCGGCTCTTTCCGTGCCCTGCCCCACGCGTGGTCAGACCCGAGTGACCCACTGCCCGTTTCTGTCACAGGTGAGAAAACACCATGCCTGTCCCATGTCTTGTGATCCTAGAGCCATAGCTGAGGAGCTTCCTGCTGATGATGGAGAGAAGCATGGACAGATGCCGAGACAGAACACACAGCATGGGTGTAAGGGCGGGGTCAGGGCGCAGGATGGCAGACAGGGCACCTCCAAACCCTCCTGTATGGCCTGCAAGGAGGCCCTTGATCAGGGTTCCAGGCACCCAGGCAGATGGAGAAAGAGGTCAGAACAGACCCAGAGGAGGGAGACTGGGCTCTGCCTGGGGAGATCAGAGGTTCTCTCAGCCCCTCAACCTTACCCACTTCCCAGAAGCCCATCCTGGCCTGTCACCCACAGAGAGATGTCATCACCAGCAACGCCTACACCCTTTTCTTTTTGTTTGAAGAAATATTTATTGAGGTGAAATATACCTATGTAATTTACCACCTTTACCATTTTTAAGTGTGAAGTCTACTGTTCATAAATACATTTATAGGCTGGGCACGGTGGCTCACGGTTGTAATCCCAACACTTTGAGAGGCCAAGGCAGGTGGATCATTTGAGATCAGGGGCTCAAGACCACCCTGGCCAACATGGGGAAAATCCATCTGTACTAAAAATACAAAATAATAATAATAATGATAATAATTAGCCGAGCATGGTGGCACATGCCTGTAGTCCCAGCTACTTGGGAGGGTTGGGCAGGAGTTGCACTTAATTGCAGGAGGCGGAGGTTGCAGTGAGCTGAGATCATGCCACTGCACTGCAGCCTGGGCAACAGAGAGAGACACTCTCTCAAAATTAATTAATTAATTAATTAGTATTCTTTTTTTTTTACCCTCCACCCTTCCCTTCCTGGCCTCTGGTAGCCACCATTCTACTCTCTACCTTTGTGAGATCCACCTTTTAGCTCCTGCATATGAGTGAGAAATGGAAATACTTGTAATGACCTCCAGTTCCATTCATGTGGCTGTAAATGACAGGATGTTACTCTTTCTATGGATGAGTTGTCCCTATTGTGTGTGTGTACCACATTCTCTCCATCCATTCACCCACTGATGGGCGGGTAGGTTGATCCACATCTTGGCTACTGTGAACACTGCTGGAACAGTCATGGGAGTGCAGATGTCACTTCGATACGCTGATGTCCTTTCCTTTGGGTTTACACCCAGTCATGGAATTGCTAGATCCTCTGGAAGTGTCTTTTTACATTTTGTTTTATGGTTTTTGTTTTTGTTTTTGTTTTTTTTAGACAGTTTCACTCTTGTTGCCCAGGCTGGAGTGCAGTGGTGCCATCTGGGCTCACTGCAACCTCCACCTCCAGGATTCAAGAGATTCCCCAGCCTCAGCCTCCCAAGTAGCTGGGTTACTGGCTCCCACCACCACACTCGGCTAATTTTTATATTTTTAGTAGAGACAGAGTTTCGCTATATTGGCCAGGCTGCTCTTCAACTCCTGACCTCAAGTGACCTACCCACCTCGGCCTCCCAATGTGCTGGGATTACAGGCATGAACCACTGTGCCCGACCTCATTTTATTTTTTGAGGAACTTCCATACTCTTCTCCTCTGTAATGGCTGTACTAATTTACATTCGTATCAGCAGTGTACCAGATGCAACCCTGGTTGACTCAGCAGAGCAAGAGACGTGCAGTAAGAGAGAATTTAGCTTATTTATGCACACGACACTTCCACTCACTCACTCGTTCAGCCAATGCCCCATGCTCTGGCTGTGCAGTGTGGAATCTTTTCCTATTGTTGCCATAACAAATTTCCACAAGCTTCGTGGATGAAAACATGTTTTTCTTAATTATCTCACAGTGCTGTAACTCAGAAGTATGAACTGCATTTCACTGGGCTGATATCAAAGGGAGAGTAAGGCTGGATTTCTTTTTAAGGTTCCAAGCAAGAATCTGCTCCTTAACGTTTCCCAGCTCCTAGAGGCTCCCACGTTCCTGGGCCCCTGGTCCCCTTCCTCCTTCCTCCTTCCTCAAAGCCCACAAAGGCTGGTCACGTCTCACATGGCATCATTCAGACTCTTCTTCTTTACCCATACCTTTTTCTCTGAATCCTGCTCTGCCTTCTTCCTCATCTTTTAAGGACTTTGGGATTCTATTGGGGTCACCAAGATAATCCATCTCAATCTCCCTAAAATCATCCAGCGTACCCTCTTTTTAAGTTCAGCTGATTAGCAACCGTAATGCCATCTGCAATCTTCATTCCTCCTTTCCTGTAAAATAACATATTCACAAGCTATGGAGGCTAAGACAGGGACATTTTGGGGGTGGGGCAGCATTCTCCTGCCTTCCACAAATGGTAAACAGGATGCATTTGGCCTCTGCTCTTGGGACGCTGATATTGCAGATGGGTAAATGCGAGGGCAGAGAATGAATGCACAAGGGTACCAATAAATGAATGATCCATTGGGAAGCATCTGTGCACCAAATCTGGGGTTTTTTGTGTGTGTGTGTTTTTTTTGTTTTCTTTTTTTTTTTTGAGTAGAGTCTCTCTCTGTTCCACAGGCTGGAGTGCAGTAGCACAATCTCAGCTCATTGCAACCTCTGCCTCCTGGGTTCATGCAATTCTCCTGCCTCAGCCTACCGAGTAGCTGGGATTACAGCTGTGCGCCACCACACTCGGCTAATTTTTTTGGTATATTTTTTAGTAGAAATGAGGTTTCACCATGTTGTGCAGGCTGTCTCAAACTCCCAATCTCAAGTGATCCCACCGCCTTAGCGTCCCTAAGTGCAAAGATTACAGGCGAGAGCTACTGCGCCCAGCCAGGATTTAAAATAAGTAATAGATAATGCTGAGTATATAATTTCAGGTGACAGAGAAGGTCTCACTGATCAGATAATATTTGTGACCTTAATGGAAAAAATGGATTCAACCCTTGGAAGATTGGCGGAAGGATTTTCCACACTGAGCTCTCAGCCGTGAAGGCACAAAGGTGGAAACATTCTTAGTTCAAGGAAGAGGCTCTGCCTCAAATGCTGGGAATGAGATGGGGAGAATGACAAGACAACTGTAGAGAGATGGAGAGCACACTGGGTACACAGGAAACTAAGGAGGAACAAGGAGCATGTTTTTGATACTCACAGCCCTTGGATTCAACTCAGAGCTAACTAGGAATCCCTACCTGATTAACAGTGACCGACATGAAAATAAGGGAGGCCCAGGTGCGTAACTGGAATCTAGGAGACCGTGGAAAAGGCAATTCCCGCCCCACTGGTGAAACGTAGGGTTGATTTACACACTAAATGAATGAAAGATGGATATAAGCTATGCTTGTGAGGTAGAATCATTTGCAGGGAGGGCTTGCTGGGTTTGATTTTTCCTAGTAGTTTAATCCTTGTTTCATTAATTTCTTTCTGAGATGTGTTTTTTTTCTACATCTAAATCCATACCTGGCAGAGGAGCGATAGACACATGAGGGGTGGTGCAAATGAAGGGACCTAGTATAATATAATATACAAGACTGTGGATGGGGGCTCACACCTGTAACCCAACACTTTGGGAGGCCAAGGCGGGTAGATCACTTAAGGGTAGGAGTTTGAGACCAGCCTGGCCAACATGGTGAAACCCCGTCTGTACTAAAAATACAAAAATTAGCCTGGTGCATTGGCACCTGCCTGTAATCCCAGCGACTGGGGAGGCTGAAGCAGAAGAATGGCTTCAACCCTGGAGGCAGAGGTTGAACTGAGATCGCATCACTGCACTCCAGCCTGACACAGGGGGACTCTGTCTCAAAAAATAAAAATAAAACATACATAATTATGACACACAGAAATTACAAAGGCAACTGGATACCAACCATCATTTTTCTATTTCTCTGTGTTTAATTCTTTGACCCTTTATCTTATCCATTAAACAATCAGGTTAAACCTCTTCCTTATTTGGCTTTCTGTGAGCTTGGGATCATATGGAAAATGTGAAAGCCTCCTGAACCCACCAGCACAGGTCCTGGAATAGAGAACGTGCTCTGTTCATGGCATAAAACTTGCCCCTTCACCCAAATCCCCCAATTCATCTCTACTTCCAATCACCTATGGAGATACAGATAGATCATGGGGAGGTAAACACTAATACTCTTTGGAGTGAGCTCAGATCTTGGACTCAGAGACCAGTGCCAGCACTAGCCCCTGGTCACATTTCGTACTAACTCACAGAAGGACAGGCTGTATTGAAACAATAAACGACGGAGAGGGCGGTCCTTCCCCGTGCTTCTCGGGTGGAATAGCAGCCTAATATATGTCTCAGCAGATCACAAAAAGTAGCATGTTGTTCCTGGGCTACATCATTATTTCATGGCTGTTTGATTTAAGTCAGTTCTACTTCACTTTTTTTATCTTGATTTCATTTTTTCTTTCTTTTCTTGGAGAATGTAATTTTTTTGAGTCAAGAGGGTTGTGGTGGTAGAAACTGTAAAGCACATTCGCTGTGTATCAATCCCAATCCAGTCTTCCCAGAGAAGATTCTAAACACCTCCTGGAATGCACCTGGGCCTATACCAATTCCTATCACTCACCGTCACTCCAGGGAGACAGAACACACAGAGAACACATTACACAGGCAGGTTCATTACTAACAGATAAGCAGCGAGTGACAACAGAAACCTACATTTCAATGTGAGCCAGTCCCTCAAGGCTCAGAAAAGCTGCTCGAGACATGTGGAGTCACCCCATATGCAGTGTATCTGGGGGAAATCAAAAAGCAGCCCAGCCTGGGTTTTGTACCCTGGAGCCACAGGAAGCACTCAGCTAAAGCACTGCATGACGTCCTCCTCCAGGAAGAACAGGAAGACAGCCCAGGCTGTTCTGGGATGTTCCTCCTGATCTCAGGACGTTGCTGTCTTAGTCCATTTTTGTTGCTCTAAAGGAACACTTGAGCCTGGGTAACTTCTAAAGAAAAGAAATGTGTTTGCCTCACAGTTCTGCAGGCTGTACTGGAAGCATGGCACCAGCATCTATTTCTTGTGACGGCCTCAGGCTGCTCCCACTCTGGCAGAAGGGAAGGAGGGTCTGTCTGTGCAGAGACCACAGAGATCACACGGCAAGAGAGGGACCAAGGGGGAGGGGGAGCGATGGAGCTTCCAAGCTCTTTTAACAACCAGTTCTCCAGGAACTAATAGAGGGGGAACTTGCTAACCCCGTCTCCTTGGAACAGCATTGATCTGTTCATGATGGATCCACCTCCATGACCCAAACAACTCCCAAGAGGCCCAACCTCCCACCCTGGGGGTTACATTTCAATGTGAGGTTTGAAGGGGTCAAACATCTAAACTAAAGCAGTTGTATCCTCAGCACGTTCTATGGTTACTACAACTGAGAAAGCAGGAGGAAGCTAGGTCTCCCGCCATCTGGGTGCTTGTCCTAAAGAGACGTTGTATGTGGTTACCTGTCAATCAAGAAATGTGAGACAATTCATATAGAGGAACTGCTATGATTAGCTTCTTATTGGTGTCTTGTCTTCCTCCAGGTAACTCCAGACACCTGCACGTTCTGATTGGGACCTCAGTGGTCATCATCCCCTTTGCTATCCTCCTCTTCTTTCTCCTTCATCGCTGGTGTGCCAACAAAAAGAGTAAGTCTCACGAAGCAGAAGCCAGAGAGCTCAGGGCCATGTGGGGAAGCAGGATGGGAGCACTCAGGTGTGTGTTCCTCACAGGCAGGATGGTCCCTGGCCCAAGGCAGGAGCCACAGAGGCAGGACTTTCTAGAGAGAGCACCAGACTCCCTGCCTCTGCCTTCAGCTCACAGACCATTGCCTGATTCTGAACCGTATCCTCACATCCCCTGCAGCCACTCACATCCAGGAGAAGGTTCCATGACAGGCAGAAAGTGGGACACAGAATCAATAGGATGGGAACTCAGAGCTATACATGGGATGGATCCTTGAGCTCAGAGAGATAGAATGTCTGAGTCTGCTGTTGGCAACTGAGGGACCTCAGGCACCTATGGCCTCCCCCTGTATGTTGGTATCTGCTTATGAAATGAGGACCCAGAAGTGCCCTCCGAGCTGTTTTGACGACTTCCGTCTTCTACAGATGCTGTTGTAATGGACCAAGAGCCTGCAGGGAACAGAACAGTGAACAGGGAGGTAGGTGCTCCTCCGCCCAGCCTCGTGGCTAGTCTTATTCCCAAAGAGTCCTGGAAAATGTGAGCACCCTCCCTCACTCAGCATTTCCCTCCCTCCAGGACTCTGATGAACAAGACCCTCAGGAGGTGACATACGCACAGTTGAATCACTGCGTTTTCACACAGAGAAAAATCACTCGCCCTTCTCAGAGGCCCAAGACACCCCCAACAGATACCAGCGTGTAACACGGAACTTCCAAATGCTGAGCGCAGATCCAAAGTTGTCTTCTGTCCACTAGCACCACAGTCAGGCCTTGATGGGATCTTCTAGGGAGACAATAGCCCTGTCTCAAAACCGGGTTGCCAGCTCCCATGTACCAGCAGCTGGAATCTGAAGGCGTGAGTCTGCATCTTAGGGCATCGCTCTTCCTCACACCACGAATCTGAACATGCCTCTCTCTTGCTTACAAATGTCTAAGGTCCCCACTGCCTGCTGGAGAGAAAACACACTTGCTTAGCCCACAATTCTCCATTTCACTTGACCCCTGCCCACCTCTCCAACCTAACTGGCTTACTTCCTAGTCTACTTGAGGCTGCGATCACACTGAGGAACTCACAATTCCAAACATATAAGAGGCTCCCTCTTAACACGGCACTTAGATACGTGCTATTCCACCTTTCCTCAGAGTATCTTTCAGCCTTCTGTCAGCAGTAAAACTTATAAATTTTTTTTATAATTTCAATGTAGTTTTCTCTTCTTCAAGTAAACATGTCTGCCCTCATGGTTTCGTCAATGGGACTCTTTTCTTGCCTAAGGCTTCCGGTGTTATCATTACCACGTCCACATAACCCCATCTGTTCTCCGCTGGGTTCTCACCCCTGGACTCTGAGCTTCTGGAAGCAGGGTGGAGCCTGAATTGTCTCTGAGACTCCAATTTCCATCCAAAGATGCAGCACATAGGAGGTTCCAAGGATGGTGAATCAGATGAACAAGTGATATTCTTACTCTCTGCAGATCTGGAAAGCTGGCAGAGTCATTCCACGATGAAACATTTGTAGAGTCATAGGCCTTGTTAGTCTCATCTCCACAGGGACACGTATCAACACATCATCTTTCATACTACTATAAATAGACAGTCACTCCTCCATATCTCTGGGGTTTACACATGTTTATTGAATCAGCAATAAATCAAAAATATTTTGAGAAAAAAAATCCCCGAAGTTTCAAAAAGCAAAAAACTATGTTGAATCGACACAAATTGAGTGGCGTGTAGGCTGTGTCAGGAATTATAAGTAATCAAGAGATGATTTCATGTATACAGGAGGATGTGCATGGGTTCTATGCAATTGCTATGCTATTTTTTTTTTTTTTTGAGACAGTCTCACTCTCTCACCCAGGCTGGAGTGCAGTGGCGTGATCTCAACTCACTGCAACCTCCGCCTTCCAGGTTCAAGCGATTCTCTTCCCTCAGCCTCCCCAGTAGCCTCCCCTAGGATTACAGGCACGTGCCACCCTGCACAGATAAATTTTTTTGTGTGTATATTTTTAGTAGAGATGGGGTTTCAGAATGTTGGACCAGCTGGTCTTGAACTCCTGACCTTGTGATCTACCCAGCTCAGCCTCCCAAAGTGCTGGGATTACAGGCGTGAGCCACGGTGCCCAGCTTCACTATGCCATTTCATGCAAGGGGCTTGAGCATCTGCAGATTTTGGTATCTGAATGGGGATCCTGGAACCAATCACCCAGGTATAGTGAAGGACCATGGTATATAATTTTTATTTGTCAATCTTAAAAATAAAGCATAAAAAATTTACAACAACAAGATAAAAAATAAGAAGTGTTTTTATAGTGTGAGGATAAGTTTAGATTTATTTTTTCCTACGTGTAACCCTATGGTCCTGTGTTATTTGTTGAGAAAATATTCTATTCCACCTTAAACTACATGGCAGCCTTTGTCAACTATAAAGGGACTGTGTATCCACAGATGTATTTTAGACACAGTTTTCTGTCCAGTGGTTCTCTGTATCCCCTCTCATGAGGATGCTGCATTTTATATAAACTTATAGAACCCCTTAAAATTTGGTAACCTGAGTCCTCTGATTTGTTATTATAGGTTATTTAGTTTGCTTTTTTTTTTTTTCTTGAGACAGACTCTTCCTCTGTCACCCAAGCTGGAGTTCAGTGGCTTGAGCTCAGCTCACTGCAACCTCCGTCTCCCAGGTTCAAGCTATTCTGATGCCTCTGGTTTAGTAGTAGAAACTCAAGCAGGAAAATTAGAATGGCTTCTTGTCACAATTACTCTGATAATGTTAATAATACCTGTTAGACATTTTGCACATTACATATGAAGAAGAGTTTGAATCTCAGATAAAAACAAAAATACATCAAAAATCTTTAATGTAAGCACAGAATTCAATCATCTCGTGTATGAGAGGTTGGATCTGAGACGTCTTTTGAGTCTGGTCGTAGTGAAGGACGCAAGGTGTCAATTCTAGTGAGAACAATTTCCAGGAAGCCATGTTCCGCTCTTGAGCGAGCACCCACTGGGCCTCATGCAAGGTAGAAAGAGCCTGCGTACGTCACCCTCCCATGATGTGGTCAACATGTAAACTGCATGGGCAGGGCGCCAAATAACATCCTGTGCGCTGCTGAGCTGAGCTGGGGCGCGGCCGCCTGTCTGCACAGACAGCACCATGTCGCTCATGGTCGTCAGCATGGTGTGTGTTGGTGAGTCCTGGAAGGGCATCGAGGGAGGGAGTGCGGGGATGGAGATCGGGGCCCAGAGTTGGAGATATAGGCCTGGAAGTGGAGTTATGGGCCTAGAGATGGAGTGATGGGCCTAGAAGTGGAGATCTGGGCCTGGAGTGGAGATCTGGGCCTGGAGTGGAGATATGGGCCTGGAGGTTGAGATATGGGCCTGCAGTAGAGATATGGGCTTGTAGTGGAGACATGGGCCTGGAGATGGAGATATGGGCCTGGAGATGGAGATATGGGCCTGCAGTAGAGATAGGGGCCTGGAGTGGAGATATGGGCCTGGAGTGGAGATATGGGCCTGGAGGTGGAGATATGGGCCTGGAGGTGGAGATATGGGCCTGGAGTGGAGATATGGGTCTGGAGGTGGAGATACGGGCCTGCAGTAGAGATATGGGCCTGGAGTGGAGATATGGGCCAGGAGTGGAGTTATGGGCCTAGAGATGGATATCTGGGCCTGGAGTGGAGATATGGGCCTAGGAAGGAGATATGGGCCTGGGTGTGGAGATATGGGACTGGAGAGGTGATATGGGCCTGGAGTGGAGATATGGGCTTAGGGTGGAGATCTGGGCCTGGGGCGGAGATATGGGACTGGATTGGAGATAGGGGCCTAGGGTGGAGATCTGAGCCTGGATTGGCGATATGGGCCTAGGGTGGAAATATCAGCCTGGAGTGGAGATATGGGCTTGGGGTGGGGATATGGGCCTGGAAACTGGGTCTCTGCACAGCCGACAGCCCTGTTCTTGGGTGCAGGTAGGCACTGAGGGTGAGTTTAACTTCAGCCCAGGAAGGGCCTGGCTGCCAAGACTCACAGCCCAGTGGGGGCAGCAAGGGAGGCCTGGTTTGCCTGCAGATGGATGGTCCATCATGATCTTTCTTTCCAGGGTTCTTCTTGCTGCAGGGGGCCTGGCCACATGAGGGTGAGTCCTTCTCCAAACCTTCGGGTGTCATCTCCCCACATAAGAGGATTTTCCTGAAACAGGAGGGAAGTCCTGTCGGGGAGTCTCTCATAAACTAGGAAGAGAGGACCCTGGGGTGCTCAGCCCACATTTCTGACCTCGCCTCCCTGGCCTCTCAACCCCTTGGCAGAGTCAAGTTCTGTGGGGACCAGGGTTAGACTGGGGTGCTCAAAGCTGGGGTGTGTGGTTGGGAAGTGGTAGGAACAGCAGATCCTCTGAGGACAAAGGTGTTACTCACACACTTCAGCGTTTCCATGATGGTAGGGGCTGCAGTGTGGCTGCTGTCATTCTACCAGAAGAGGTGGGAAACCACAGCCATGGCCCTGACATTCCAAATCCTCTGATGGGGGCTCAGTTGTTTATTTTCGTTCAGGCATCCGCTGATATCCATTCACAAAGGACATGCCCTCCACCTCATGTCTACCCTGTGTTGTTTTATGTGAGTAATCTTACAGTATTAAAATCTAGTAGGAGTCTCTTTACTCAGCACTTGCTCAAAGTTCTCAGCTGAGGCTTTTGTTGTAGGGAGACACCATGTCTTTGCGGGATGGGTCCTTCCTTCAGCCCTGGGCACCAAGGTGTGATAGTAGCCATAGAAACGTGGAAAGCGAGGAGAATCTTCTGAGCACAGGGAGGGAAGGGCAGTTCCACATCCTCCTCTCTAAGGCGGCGCCTCCTTCTCCCCAAGGTGGTCAGGACAAGCCCTTGCTGTCTGCCTGGCCCAGCCTTGTGGTGCCTCTAGGACATGTCATTCTTCGGTGTCACTCTTATCTTGGGTTTAACAACTTCAGTCTGTAAAAGGAAGGTGGGGTGCCTGTCCCTGAGCTCTACAACAGAATATTCTGGAACAGCCTTTTCATGGGCCCTGTGACCCCCGCACACACAGGGACATACAGATGTCGGGGTTCACACACACACTCCCCCAGTGGGTGGTCAGCACCCAGCAACCCCCTGGTGATCGTGGTCATAGGTCAGAGGGCTCCTGTCTTGGATTCTCCTTGTCCCACCTCCTGAATCCCAGAGCTTCTGTTGGGCATGTCCTTGAGGGTCCCATCACGCAGGCCCTGACTGTATTTGTGGTAAAGGGGGATTGAATACAGGGAAATGGGTGCTGTGGTGGGAAGAATAATTGTCCCCAGTGATGACTACATTCTAATCCCTGGAGTCTGTGACTATTTATGTTATAGGGGAAGGGACTGAAGGGGAAGATGGAGCTCATGGGGAGACAGCCTGGACTGTCCCACTGGGCTCAGTGTAATCACAAGGGTGCACATGAAAGGAGGAGGAAGAGGGGAGTGGGGATTAGAGCAGTCCAGTGGAAGTCTTCACCAGCTTTGAAGGTGGAGGAAGGCCAAGATCCATGAATGCAGGTGGCCTATAGAGGCTGGAAAAGTCAAGGAACTGATTCTCCAGAGTCTCCAGAGGGAACAAAGCCCTGCAGATGCCTTGATTTTAGCCCAGGAAAAATAGGGTCCAATTTCTGTCTCCAGTACTGGAAGGTGTCAGTGTGGTCTCTCCTGCTGCCATGCTTCTGATAATTTTCTACAGCAGCAACAGGAAACCAACACTGGAACCCAGGTCAAGGACAAGTTAAGAAACAACCCAAGGAAAGCCAGGCATGGTGGCAGGTGCATGTAATCCTAGCGACTCAGGAGGCTGAGGGCAGGAGAATCACTTGAACCCAGGAGACAGAGGTTGCAGTGAGCCTAGACCACACCACTTCACTCCAGCCTGGGTGAAGGAGTGAGACTCTGTCTCCATAATTAATTAATTAATTAAAGAAACCAAACAAGGAGAAGGTTGGCTACCCTGAGATCAGCAAGGGTGGGATGATGATGCCACCACCAGGCTCCATCCACATAGGGAGGGGTTGATACTCCTCCAACCAGCACCAGGAGCCAGCCTATGGAAGCTGGCACCATGGAGAAGGCACAGGCATGGCAAGAGTGGCTCCCAGTCCCCACCAGGAACAGGGTGTGTGGACACTGGTGCCTGCCTTATTCATCAGTTCATACCTTCTGCCAAGGATTGCAATTCATCCAAAAGAGATTGAACCAGGCTGATAAGAGCCTGGATGTGCAGCCTATCCTGGTTCCTCTTTCACCCCCACATAAACAGCAGGAAATACATTAGTGTGAAATAGATACAACACCCCAAGAGATGAGGCTCAGCCCAGTGGGAAGGGAATCAGAGGCTACTAGAGACAGAGGGACAGAGAAGAGGGAGGGAGACAGATGGAAGGACCTGCACCAGGAGTTAAGGGCACAGAAAAGAACATGAAGACACAGAGAGGAAGGAGAGAGACAGACACCAGCAAGGGGAAGCCTCACTCATTCTAGGTGCCATGGATGGGATGATAAAGAGAGACACCTTCTAAACTCACAACCTCTCTTCCTAGGAGTCCACAGAAAACCTTCCCTCCTGGCCCACCCAGGTCCCCTGGTGAAATCAGAAGAGACAGTCATCCTGCAATGTTGGTCAGATGTCAGGTTTCAGCACTTCCTTCTGCACAGAGAAGGGAAGTTTAAGGACACTTTGCACCTCATTGGAGAGCACCATGATGGGGTCTCCAAGGCCAACTTCTCCATCGGTCCCATGATGCAAGACCTTGCAGGGACCTACAGATGCTACGGTTCTGTTACTCACTCCCCCTATCAGTTGTCAGCTCCCAGTGACCCTCTGGACATCGTCATCACAGGTGAGAGTGTCCGGACATTCTCATTGTCATTGGGATGCAGAGTGAATGATCCACGACTTGGAACCCCCAGGTAGTTGTAAGGAAGATGAGCTTGGTATTCTTATGGAGAGAGACTGACTTGCTGAGGTTTGTACCAACAGAGACAGAGAAACAGGAGACACAAGTACAGACCAGGTGTCATAACAGAGGACAGACACAGGGGCCATACAGGGAGTTAGAAAAGACAGAAAGAGTTAAAAGAGACAGACAGACAGACATGTCCCAGAGAGAGGTGTCCCTCCATGCTGACTTTGCTCACAGACCTGGCACAGGTTAGAAGTTTCATTTCTGTTTTACCTCCACAAAGTGTTCTCTACCAGGAGAACCCAAGGACACCCATATTTATGACCTGAGTTGGGCCCTGTGGCCTCAGGCCTTGTGGCACCTACAGGCCATGTTTATTCTGACACCTCTGCCTTCCATGTAATGGAGAGTAATCGTCCCAGGATATCATGGCCCCAGAACACCAACCCCTGTATGCTGTGTGAACTTGTGGTCTCCAGACTGGATTCTGTGGCTCACATTCCAAATAACCCCACATATGAAAGGATCACTGAGAGGCACAGAGAAAAATCAGGAACACCAAAAAGCAAAGACATAAACACACAGAGAATGAGCCAGAGGAAGGAGATTGAGAGACTCACAGACACATAAAGAGAGAGAAAAGAGGGCAGAGGAGTGGTGAGAATGATGGCAGGGAGCAGAGAAAAGCACTAAAATTAGAGTCCTGAGAGAGAGGCACAAGGACATAGAAACATGGAGATGTGGGGATGAATTGCAGAGATTCCAAAGAGAACTAGAGAGACCGAGAGGCAGAGCAAGACAGATGATAGATGGATAGATATAGATAGATGATAAATAGGTAGATGATAGATAATAGGTTAAAGATACATAGATGATGATTGATTGATTCATTAATAGATAATACATAGAGATGATGATGATGAAGACAGATAATACGTACAGATAGAGAGGCAGACAGAAATCATAGAGAGAGAGATGATACATACATATAAATAACAGATGATTGATGGATAGATAGACAAGTGATAGATACATAGATGATATATAGATATAGATGACAGGTAGAGAATTTGTAGATAGGCACCGAATAGATAAATAGATAGATCGACAGATAATAGATAGAAATATGCAGAAAGTTATGAACAGGACACAACGTGAGAAACTTAGAATTTAAAAAAGTAACATCAAGTCAACCAATCCAAGGAGAGTCAGAGAGAATAAAAGAATCCAAAAAGGGAAAACATATCTAGAGGTGGGGAAGCGAGGTCAGAGACCTAGAGAGACAGAGAAGGTGGAAGAAGGAAATAGACATGAAGAGAGATGGGGTGGAGGGTGAGAGAGAGAGAGAGAGAGAGCATTAGGTCATAGAGCAGGGGAGTGAGTTCTCAGCTCAGGTGAAGGGAGCTGTGACAAGGAAGATCCTCCGTAAGGAAAATGCCTCTTCTCCTCCAGGTCTATATGAGAAACCTTCTCTCTCAGCCCAGCCGGGCCCCACGGTTCTGGCAGGAGAGAGCGTGACCTTGTCCTGCAGCTCCCGGAGCTCCTATGACATGTACCATCTATCCAGGGAGGGGGAGGCCCATGAACGTAGGTTCTCTGCAGGGCCCAAGGTCAACGGAACATTCCAGGCCGACTTTCCTCTGGGCCCTGCCACCCACGGAGGAACCTACAGATGCTTCGGCTCTTTCCGTGACTCTCCATACGAGTGGTCAAACTCGAGTGACCCACTGCTTGTTTCTGTCACAGGTGAGGAAACCCCATATCTGTCTCATGTCCTATGATCCTAGAGCCTTAGCTGAGGAGCTTCCTGCTGATGATGGAGAGAAGCATGGACAGATGCAGAGAGAAGACGAAGCTTGGGTGTGAGGGAGGGATCAGGGCACAGGATGGCAGACAGGGCACCTCCAAACCCTCCTACACGGCCTGCATGAAGGCCCGCGGCCAGGGCTCCAGGCACACAGGCAGATGGAGAAAACGGTCAGGAGAGACCCAGAGGAGAGAGACTGGGCTCAGTTTGGGAAGATCAGAGGTTCCCTCAGCCCCTCAACATTACCCATTTCCCAGAAGCCCATCCTGGCCTCTCACCCACACAGGGATGTCATCACCAGCAACCCCTACACCCTTTACTTTTGTTTGAAGAAATATTTATTGAGGATAAATATACCTATATAGCTTACCACCTTTAACATTTTTTTTTTTTTTGAGGCAGAGTCTAGCTCTGTCCCCTATGCTGGAGTGCAGTGGCACAATCTCAGCTCACTGCAACTTCCGCCTCCTGGGTTCAAGTGATTCTCCTGCTTCAGCCACCTGAGTAGCTGGTGCTACAGGCGCGCACCACCACGCCAGGCTACTTTTTGTATTTTTAGTAGAGAGGGGGTTTCACCATGTTGGTCGAGCTGGTCTCCAACTCCTGACCACGTGATCCACCCGCATCTGCCTCCCAAAGTGCTGGGATTACAGGCATGAGCCACCACGCCCAGCCACATTTACCATTTTTAAGTGTAAAGTCTAGTGGTCATAAATACATTTATATATATATATATATATATATATATATATACACACACACACACATATATAAACATATATATATATATATATATATATATATATATATTTTTTTTTTTTTTTTTTTTTTTACCCTCCACCCTTTTATTCCTGGCCTCTGGAAGCCACCATTCTACTCTCTACCTTCATGAGATCCACCTTTTAGCTCTGTATATGGGTGAGAAATGGGAATCTTTGTAATGACTTCCAGTTCCATCCATGTGGCTGCAAATATCAGGATGTTATTCTTTCTATGGATGAGTAGTCTCCACTGTGCGTATGTACTACATTCTCTCTATCCATTCATCCACTGATGGGCAGGTAGGTTGACTCCACATCTTGGCTACTGTGAACAGTGCTGCACCAATCATACGAGTGCAGATATCACTTCGATATATTGATTTACTTTCCTTTGGATATAAACCCAGTAGTGAAATTGCTGGATACTATGAAAGTTCTCTTTTTAGTTATTCGTTTGTTGTTTTGTTTTTGTTTTTGAGACAGTTTCCCTCTGTGCCCAGGCTGGAGTACAAGTGAAGTCATCTTGGCTCATTGCAACCTCCGCCTCCTGGGTTCAAATGATTTTCCTGCCTCAGCCTCCCTAGTAGCTGGGATTACAGGTGCACGCCACCATGCCTGGCTACTTTTTGTTTTTTTTAGTATAGATGGGGTTTCCCCATGTTGGCTGGGCTGCTCTCAAACTCATGACCTCAACTGAGGTGCCCGCCTCGGTCTCCCAAAGTGCCGGGATTACAGGCATGATCCACCTCACCCAACCTCTTTTTAGTTCTTTAAAGGACTTCCACACTTTTCTCCGTAAAGGCTGTACTAATTTACACTCCTACCAACAGGGTATTAGGGTTCTCCTTTCTCTACCACTTTGGCAGGATTTCCTTTGCCTGTCTTGCAGCTAAAAGCCATTTTATTTTATTTCATTTTATTTTGAGATGGAGTTTCGCTCTTGTCACCCAGGCTGGAGTGCAGTGGTGCGATCTCGGCTCACCACAACCTCCACCTCCCAGGTTCAAGCGATTCTCCTGCCTCAGCCTCCCGAGTAGCTGGAATTACAGGCACACGCCACCACGCCCAACTAAATTTTGTATTTTTAGTAGAGACAGTGTTTCTTCATGTGGGTCAGACTGGTCTCAAACTCCCGACCTTATGAGGTTCACCCACCTCAGGCTCTCAAAGGTCTAGGATGACAGACGTGAGCCACCACGCCCGGCCTAAAATCCATTTTAATGGGGTGAGATGAAAACTCACTTTGATTTTAATTTGTGTTTCTCTGATGATGAGTGAAACTGAGCACTTTTTAGTATGTGGGGAAATTTCATGTGTTTTGCTCCTTTTTCAATTAAATCGTTTGTTTTATTGAGTTGTTTGAGCTTCTTATATTTCTAGTTATTAATCCCATCTCAGATGCATAGTTTGCACATATTTGCTCCCAATCTGTGGGTTGTCTCTTCACTTTGTTGGTTTATTTTTAGCGGTGCAGAAGTTGCTTAGTTTGAGGTAATCCCAATGGTCTATTTTTGCTTCGATTACTTGTGTTTTGAAGGTTTAAAACAAAATGTCTTCCTTCAGACAAATGTCCTGGAGCATTTCCCCAATATTTTCTTCTACGTGTTTCATAGGTTCAGGCCTTAGACTCACATCTTTAATCCATTTTCATTTGAGTTTTGTGTATAGTGACAGGTAGAGGTGCAGTTTCATTCCTCTGCATGTAGATGTCCAGGTTTCCCTGCACTGTTTATTGAAAAGACTGTCCTTTCCTGATTGTGAGTTCTTGGCACCTTTGTCAAAGTCCATTGGATGGGCTGGGCATGGTGGCTGACACCTGCAATTTCAGCACTTTGGGAGCCCAAGGCGGGTGGATCACCTGAGGCCAGGAGTTCAAGATTAGTCTGGCCGACGTGATGAAACATTGTCTCCACTAAAAATATAAAAATTAGCTGAGCATGGTGGTCAGCACCTGTAATACCACTACTCAGGAGTTTGAGGCCAGAGAATTGATTGAACCCAGGAGGCTGTGGTGGCAGTGAACCGAGATTGCACCTCTGCACTCCAGCCTGGGTGACAGAGCGAGACTCCATCTCAAAAGAAAAAAGAAAAAAACATTGGAGGTAAATGCATGGATTATATCTGTGTTCTTCATTCTGCTCCATTGTTCTACGTGCCTTTCTTTATGCCAATGTGATGCTGTTTTGCTTACTACAGCTCTGTAACATATTTTGAGATCAGGTAGTGTGATGCTCCTGTTTTCTCTTTATACCTTGAAGTCTCAAGACAGTGGGCGTCACATACAAAAATTACGGAAAAAAGGATCCCAGGACTCCCAGGGCCCAATATTAGATAACAGAGTGTTGGCCATGAACCAACCTCAAAGATTTCCATTGAGTAGAGGACAGACACCCTCATTTCCTCACCTCTCTCCTGTCTCGTGTTCTAGGAAACCCTTCAAATAGTTGGCCTTCACCCACTGAACCAAGCTCCGAAACCGGTGAGTACAGAACCCTCTTATATCCGCTTTTGGAAACCTGGGGAGGTAGAAACCTTCGATGCAGGCATTGACTCAGCATCTCGCAGCTCTGACATTGTACGCCTGTCTTCTACCATCTCCGAACTCCAGATACTCCAACAGCGAAAGGGATCTGGGCCCAACCTAGGGCTCAGTGAAATCTCTTAATCTCTCATTTTATGGAGCTGAGACCTCCTACAAGCTAGAAGAATGATTGCCAATCTGACATCCTTCTCAGGAAAAATGCAATGTTTGTTCTGCCTGCATTCCTAACTGGAGGATAAATTCCTGGGGGCTTGAGAGAGGGAAGGGAAGGGAACATCTGATGAGGGCGAGGTGTTTTAGAGAAGTTCCACTTGCCAAGGAATGAATTACTGTTGGTCATGAAGCAACCCTGGCTGACTCAGCAGAGCAACAGCCTTGCCGTAACAGAGAACGGAGCTCATGCACGCACACTTCGACTCACTGACTCATTCAGCCACGGCCCCATGCTCAGGCTGTGCAGTGCGGAACCTTTTCCTATTGTTGCCATAACAAATTTCCACAAGATTCGTGGGTGAAAACAAAACGGTTTTTTAATTATCTTACAGTGCTGTAGCTCAAAGTAGGAAGTGCATCTTACTGGGCTAAAATCAAGGTGACAGCAAGGCTGCCTTCCCTCTGAGGATTCCAGGCAAGAATCTGCTTCTCACTTATCCCAGCTTCTAAAGGCTCCCAGTTCCTTGGCTCCTGTTCCCCTTCCTCCTTCCTCAAAGCCCACAAAGACTGGTCACATCTCACATGGCATCACTCAGTGCCTTCTTCCTTACCACACCTCTTTCTCTGAATGCTGCTCTCCCTTCTTCCTTATCTTTTGAAAACTTGGGGATTCTATTGGGTTCACCAAGATGAAAATCCCTCATAATCTCCTGGAAATCATCCAGGATACCCTTGTTTTAAGTTCAGCTGATTAGCAACCGCAATTCCATCTACAATCTTCATTCCTCCTTTCCATGTAAAATAACATATTCACAAGCTATGGAGGCTAGGACAGGGACATTTTGGGGTGGGACAGCATTCTCCTGCCTTCCACAAACGGTGAACAAGATGCATTTGGCTTCTGCCCTTGGGACACTGATATTGCAGATGGTTAAATGGGAGGGCAGAAAATGAATGCACAAGTGGATCTATAAATGAATGATCCATTGGGAAGCATCTGTGCATGAAATCTATTTTTTGTTTGTTCTTTTGTTTATTGAGACAGAGTCGCCCTCTGTCTTCCAGGCTACAGTGCAGTGTCACGATCTTGGCTCACTGCAACCTGCGTCTCCTGGATTCAAGTGATTCTCCTGCCTCCGCCTCTCGAGTAGCTGGGATTACAGGCAACTGCCACCGTGCCCGGCTAATTCTTTTTGTATATTTTTTGTAGAGAGGATGTTTCACCACGTTGGCCAAGCTTGTCTGAAACTCCCAACCTCAAGTGATCCGACCGTCTCAGCATGCCAAAGTAATGGGACTACAGGCGTGAGCCACTGTGCCCAGCCAGAATTCAAAATCAATAATAGATAATGCTGAGTGTATGATTTCAGGTGACAAAGAAGGTCTCACTATTCAGATATTTGTGACATTAATGAAAAACACGGATTGAACCCCTGAAAGATTGGCGGAAGGATTTTGCACACACAGCTGTCAGCCGTGAAGGCACAAAGGTGAAAACAATCTGATGTGGAAGGAAGAGGCTCTGCCTCAAATGCTGGGAATGATGTGGGGAGAATGACAAGACGACTGTAGAGAGACGGAGAGCACACTGGGTACACAGGAAACTAAGGAGCAACAAGGAGTGTGTGTTTGACACTCACAGCCATTGGATTCACCTCGGGGTAACCAGGAATCCCTACATGATTAATATGACTGACATGAAAATAAGGGAGGCTCAGTTGCATAACTGGAATCTAGGAGACCGTGGAAAAGGCAATTGCCACCCCACTGGTGAAATGTGGTGCTGATTTAGACACTAAATGAATGAAGTAGATGGATATAAGATATGTTTGTGAGGTAGAATCATTGACTGGAAACGCTTACTGGGTTTGATTTTCCTACTTGTTTAATCCTCGCTTAATTAATTTCTTTCTGAGATTTATTCATCCTACACATAAATCAATACCTGGCAAAGGAGTGACAGATATATGAGTGGTGGTGGAAATGAAGAGACTTATTATAGCATAATATACAAGTCTGTGAACAGTGGCTCACGCCTGTAACCTAGCACTGCAGGAGGCCAAGGTGGGTGGATTCCATGAAGTCAGGAGTTCCAGACCAGCCTGGCCAACGTGGTGAAACCCTATCTCTACTAAAAATACAAAAATTAGCCGAGCACGATGGTGCATCCCTGTAATCCCAGCTCCTATTCTGGAGGATGAAGCAGGAGAATGACTTCAACCCAGTAGGTGGAGGTTGCAGTGAGTGGAGATTGCATCACTGCACTCCAGCCTGGGGGACACAAGGAGACTCTATCTCAAAAAATAAAAATAAGAAATACATAAATATAATAAAACACACACGAATGACAAAGGCACCTGAATTCCAATCATCGTTTTTCTATTTCTCTATAATTACTTCTTTGATCCTTTATCTTATCCATTAGGCAATGAGCTTAAAACCTCTTCCCTATTTGGCTTTCTGTGAGAATGAGATCACATAGAAAATGTGAAAGCCCTCAGAATCCTCCAGCACAGATCGTGGAATAGAGAAAGTGCTCTGTTCATCGCAACAAAAAACTTGCCCACTCACCCAAATCCCCCACCTCACCCCTACTTCCAATCACCTGTGGAGATTCAGATAGGCTATGGGGAGGTAAACATTGATACTCCTTGGAGTGAGTCCAGATCTTGGAATCAGAGATCAGTGCCAGCACTAGCTCCTGCTCCCCTTTCCTACTAATTCACAGGAGGACAGGTGGTATTGAAGCAATAGATGGCCGAGGGGGTGGTCCTTCCCCCAGCCTCTCGGGTAGAACAGCAGCCTAACATGTGTCTCCCGAGATCACAAAGAGTAGCACGTTTCACACGGGCTTCAACACTATTTCCTGGCCATTTGACATAAGAGAATTCTACTTAGCTTTTTTTATCTTGATTTCACTTTTGTTTCCTTTTCTTGGAGAATGCAAGTTGTTTGATTCAAGAATGCTGTGGATGTAGAAATCCTAAAGCACATTCGCTGTGTATCAATCCCAGTGCAGTCTTCCCAGAGAAGACTCTAAATACCTCCTGGACTGCACCTGGGCTTATGCCAATTCCTATCACTCACCGTCACTCCAGGGAGACAGAACACACAGAGAATACATTACACAGGCAGGTTCATTACTAACAGATAAGCAGCGAGTGACAACAGAAACCTACATTTCAATGTGAGCCAGTCCCTCAAGGCTCAGAAAAGCTACTCGGGACATATGGAGTCACCCCATTTGCAGTGTAGCTGGGGGAAGCCAGAGAGCAGCCCAGCCTGGGTTTTGTACTGTGGAGCCACAGGAAGCACTCAGCTAAAGCACTGCATGACGTCCTCCTCCAGGAAGAACAGGAAGACAGCCCAGGCTGTTCTGAGACGTTCCTCCTGATCTCAGGACGTTGCTGTCTTAGTCCATTTTTGTTGCTCTAAAGGAACACTTGAGCCTGGGTAACTTCTAGAGAAAAGAGATTGGTTTGCCTCACAGTTCTGCAGGCTGTACTGGAAGCGTGGCACCAGCATCTATTTCTCGTGACGGCCTCAGGCTGCTCCCACTCTGGCAGAAGGGAAGGAGGGTCTGTCTGTGCAGAGACCACAGAGATCACACGGCAAGAGAGGGAGCAAGGGGGAGGGGGAGCGATGGAGCTTCCAAGCTCTTTTGAACAACCAGCTCTCCAGGAACTAATAGAAGGGGAACTTGCTAACCCCGTCTCCTTGGGACAGCATTGGTCTGTTCATGATGGATCCACCTCCATGACCCAAACACCTCTCAAGAGGCCCAACCTCCCACAGTGGGGGTGAAATTTCAATGTGAGGTTTGAAGGGGTCAAACATCTCAACTAAAGTAGTTGTATCCTCAACACGTTCTATGGTTACTATGAGAGCTATAACTGAGAAAGCAGGAGAAAGCTGGGTCTCCCTCCATCTGGGTGCTTGTCCTAAAGGGGTGTTGTATGTGGTTACCTGTCAATCAAGAAATGTGAGACAATTCATAAAGAGGAACTGCTATGATTAGCTTCTTATTGGTGTCTCCTCTTCTTCCAGGTAACCCCAGACACCTGCATGTTCTGATTGGGACCTCAGTGGTCATCATCCTCTTCATCCTCCTCCTCTTCTTTCTCCTTCATCGCTGGTGCTGCAACAAAAAAAGTAAGTCTCACGAAGCAGAGGCCAGAGAGCTCAGGGCCATGTGGGGAAGCAGGATGGGAGCACTCAGGTGTGTGTTCCTCACAGACAGGATGGTCCCTGGCCCAAGGCAGCAGCCACAGAGGGAGGACTTTCTAGAGAGAGCACCAGACTCCCTGTCCCTGCCTTCAGCTCACAGACCATTGCCTGATTCTGAACTGTATCCTCATGTCCCCTGCAGCCACTCACATCCAGGAGAAGGTTCCATGACAGGCAGAAAGTGGGAGACAGAATCAATGGGATGGGAACTCAGAGCTATTCATGGGATGGGTCCTTGAGCTCAGAGAGATAGAATGTCTGAGTCTGCTGTTGGCAACTGAGGGACCTCAGGCTCCTATGGTCTCCCCCTGTATGTTGGTATCTGCTTATGAAATGAGGGCCCAGAAGTGCCCTCTGAGCTGTTTTGTTGACTTCCGTCTTCTACAGATGCTGTTGTAATGGACCAAGAGCCTGCAGGGAACAGAACAGTGAACAGGGAGGTAGGTGCTCCTCGGCCCAGCCTCGTGGCTAGTGTTATTCCCAAAGAGTCCTGGAAAATGTGAGCACCCTCCCTCACTCAGCATTTCCCTCTCTCCAGGACTCTGATGAACAAGACCCTCAGGAGGTGACATATGCACAGTTGAATCACTGCGTTTTCACACAGAGAAAAATCACTCGCCCTTCTCAGAGGCCCAAGACACCCCCAACAGATATCATCGTGTACACGGAACTTCCAAATGCTGAGCCCTGATCCAAAGTTGTCTCCTGCCCATGAGCACCACAGTCAGGCCTTGAGGGGATCTTCTAGGGAGACAACAGCCCTGTCTCAAAACTGGGTTGCCAGCTCCAATGTACCAGCAGCTGGAATCTGAAGGCGTGAGTCTGCATCTTAGGGCATCGCTCTTCCTCACACCACAAATCTGAACGTGCCTCTCCCTTGCTTACAAATGTCTAAGGTCCCCACTGCCTGCTGGAGAGAAAACACACTCCTTTGCTTAGCCCACAATTCTCCATTTCACTTGACCCCTGCCCACCTCTCCAACCTAACTGGCTTACTTCCTAGTCTACTTGAGGCTGCAATCACACTGAGGAACTCACAATTCCAAACATACAAGAGGCTCCCTCTTAACACGGCACTTAGACACGTGCTGTTCCACCTTCCCTCATGCTGTTCCACCTCCCCTCAGACTAGCTTTCAGCCTTCTGTCAGCAGTAAAACTTATATATTTTTTAAAATAATTTCAATGTAGTTTTCCCTCCTTCAAATAAACATGTCTGCCCTCATGGTTTAGGTAATGGGACTCTTTTCTTGCCTAAGGCTTCCGGTGTTATCAGTACCATGTCCATATAATCCCATCTGTTCTCCACCGGGTTCTCACCTCTGGACTCTGAGCTTCTGGAAGCAGTGTGGAGCCTCATTTGTCTCTGGGACTCCAATTTCCATCCAAAGATGCAGCACATAGGAGGTTCCAAGGATCGGGAATCACATGAACAAGTGACATTGTTACTCTCTGCAGACCTGGAAAGCTGGCAGAGTCATTCCACGATGAAACATTTGTAGAGTCATAGGCCTTGTTAGTCTCATCTCCATGGGGACACATATCAACACATCATCTTTCATACTATAAATATACGGTCACTCCTCCGTATCTGTGGGGTTTACAGGTCTTTATTGAACAAAGTATAAATCAAAAATATTCAGAGAAAATATCCACAGAGTTCCAAAACTCATAACTATGTTGAATGGACACAAATGAAGCTGTGTGTAGGCTGTATCAGGAATTATAAGTAATCAAGAGATGATTTCATGTATACAGGAGGATGTGCATATGTTATTTGCAAGCGCTGTGCCATTTCATATAAGAGGCTTGAGCATCTACAGATTTTGGTATCTGAGTGGAGATCTCGAAACCAATCACCCACGAATAGTGAAGGATGACCGTATATGACTTTTATTTCTCAAATTTAAATATAAATCAAAAAATGTACAACTAGATAAAAACTAAGAAGTGTTTTTATAGTGTGAGTTAGATTTATTTTTTACTAGGTGTAACCCATTGGTTTAATATTATTTATTGAGAAGACATTCTATGCCACCTTAAACCACACGGCAGCCTTTGTCAACTCTAAAGGGACTGTGTGTACATGGATGTATTTTAGACAGTTTCTGCTAAGGGGCTGTCTGTGTCCACACACTTGATGATGCTACACTTTATGTAGCCTTATAGAACCCTTTAAATTTAGTAGCCAGAGCCCTCTAATTTGTTATTATAGGCTATTTGCTTTTTTTTTTCTTGAGGCGGAGTCTTGCTCTGTCGCCCAGGCTGGACTGCAGTGACACAATCTCAGCTCACTGCAACCTCCGCCTCCCAGGTTCAAGCGATTCTCGTGCCTCAGCCTCTTGAGTAGCTGGCGTTACAGGTGCCTGCCACCAGGCATGGCTAATTTTTGGATTTTTAGCAGAGACACGGTTTCACTATGTTGGCCAGGCTGCTCTCAATCCCCTCATCTCAGTTGATCCGCCCACCTCGGCTTCCCGACGTGCTGGGGAAACTTGATTTTCTATAGCATTATGTTACTGGATATTTCTGTAAAATTTAAAATGAGGGAGGCAGAGAGACAGAGAGAGATCAAACTCCAGAGTTGGGACTCTGGAATCTTGGGTCATGAGACAAATTTTAGATTAAACTACAAAACTCCAGAATTTACAGGTGTGGTTTTTGCTGATAAAGTACAATTCTAAGATTGTAAATAATTGCATAATCCTTCCCTGGGAATTTAAATCATTTTAACTGGTTCTGCTGTAATACTAGAAATACAAGCATGAAAAATTCTAATGGTTTATTAGTCACAATGACTCTGAAAACCTTAATAATACCTATTAAATATTTTGCATATTACACATGAAGAAGAGTTTGAATCTCAGATAAAAACAATAAAAATACATGAAAAGTCTTTCACGTTAGCACAGATTTTAGGCATCTCGTGTTCAGGAGGTTGGATCTGAGACGTGTTTTGAGTTGGTCATAGTGAAGGACGCTAGGTGTAAATTCTAGTGAGAACAATTTCCAGGAAGCCGTGTTCCGCTCTTGAGCGAGCACCCACTGGGCCTCATGCAAGGTAGAATGAGCCTGCGTACGTCACCCTCCCATGATGTGGTCAACATGTAAACTGCATGGGCAGGGCGCCAAATAACATCCTGTGCGCTGCTGAGCTGAGCTGGGGCACGGCCGCCTGTCTGCACCGGCAGCACCATGTCGCTCACGGTCGTCAGCATGGCGTGTGTTGGTGAGTCCTGGAAGGGAATAGAGGAAGGGAGTGTGGGGTTGGAGATCTGGGCCCAGAGGTGGAGATATAGGCCTGGAGGTGGAGTTGTGGGCCTGGAGTGGAGATCTGGGCCTGGAGTGGATATATGGGCCTAGAGATGGAGTGATGGGCCTAGAAGTGGAGATCTGGGCCTGGAGTGCCGATAGGAACCTGGAGGGGAGATAGGAGCCTGGAGTGGAGATATGGGCCTGGAGGTGGAGTTATAGGCCTATAGTAGAGATATGGGCCTGGAGTGGAGATTTGGGCCAGGAGTGGAGATATGGGCCTAGAGGTGGATATCTGGGCCTAGAGTGGAAATATGGGCCTAGGATGGAGATATGGGCCTGGTTGTGGAGATATGGGACTGGAGAGGAGATATGGGCCTAGAGTGGAGATATGGGCTTGGGGTGGAGATCTGGGCCTGGGGTGGAGATATGGGCCTGGAGGTGGAGTTACGGGCCTTCAGTAGAGATATGGGCCTGGGGTGGAGATATGGGCTTGGGGTGGAGATCTGGGCCTGGAGTGGAGATATGGGCCTGGAGGTGGAGTTACTGGCCTTCAGTAGAGATATGGGCCTGGTGTGGAGATATGGGCCTGGATTGGAGATATGGGCCTAGGTTGGAGATCTGAGCCTGGAGTGGAGATATGGGCCTGGATTGGAGATATGGGCTTACAGTGGAGATCTTGGCCTGGATTGGCGATATGGGCCTGGATTGGCGATATGGGCCTATGATGGAAATATCGGCCTGGAGTGGAGATATGGGCCTGGAGTGGAGATACAGGCCTAGGGTGGAAATATTGGCCTGGAGTGGAGATATGGGCTTGTGGTGGGGATATGGGCTTGTGGTGGGGATCTGGGCTTGGAGGCTGGGTCTCTGCACAGCCGACAGCCCTGTTCTTGGGTGCAGGTAGGCACTGAGGGTGAGTTTAACTTCAGTCCAGGAAGGGCCTGCCTACCAAGACTCACAGCCCAGTGAGGGCAGCAAGGGAGGGCTGGTTTGCCTGCAGATGGATCGTCCATCATGATCTTTCTTTCCAGGGTTCTTCTTGCTGCAGGGGGCCTGGCCACATGAGGGTGAGTCCTTCTCCAAACCTTAGGGTGTCATCTCCCCACATAAGAGGATTTTCCTGAAACAGGAGGGAAGTCCTGTCAGGGAGCCTCTCATAAACTAGGAAGAGGGGACCCTGGGGTGCTCGGCCCACAGTTCCGACCTCGCCTCCCTGGCCTTTCATTCCCTTGGCAGAGTCAAGTTCTGTGGGGACCAGGGTTAGACTGGGGTGCTCAAAGCTGGGGTGCGTGGTGGGGAAGTGGTAGGAACAGCAGATCCTCTGAGGACAAAGGTGTTACTCACACTTCAGCGTTTCCATGACGGTAGGGGCTGCAGTGTGGCTGCTGTCACTCCACCAGAAGAGGTGGGAAACCACAGCCATGGCCCTGACATTCCAAATCCTCTGATGGGGGCTCAGTTGCTTATTTTCATTCAGGCATCTGCTGATATTCCATTCTCAAAGACATGCCCTCCACCCCATGTCTACCCTGTGTTGTTTTATGTGAGTAATCTTACAGTATTAAAATCTAGTAGGAGTCTCTTACTCAGCACTTGCTCAAAGTTCTCAGCTGACACTTTTGTTGTAGGGAGACACCTTGTGTTTGCGGGATGGGTCCTTCCTTTAGCCCTGGGCACCAAGGTGTGATAGCAGCCATAGAAACTTGGAAAGCGAGGAGAATCTTCAGAGCACAGGGAGGGAGGGGTGGCTCCACATCCTCCTCTCTAAGGCGGTGCCTCCTTCTCCCCAAGGTGGTCAGGACAAGCCCTTGCTGTCTGCCTGGCCCAGCTCTGTGGTGCCTCCAGGACATGTGATTCTTCGGTGTCATTCTTATCTTGGGTTTAACAACTTCAGTCTGTAAAAGGAAGATGGGGTGCCTGGCACTGAGCTCTACAACAGAATATTCTGGAAGAGCCTTTTCATGGGCCCTGTGACCCCAGCACACACAGGGACGTACAGATGTCGGGGTTCACACCCACACTACCCCAGTGGGTGGTCGGCACCCAGCAACACCCTGGTGATCATGGCCACAGGTCAGAGGGCTCCTGTCTTGGATTCTCCTTTCCCACCTCCTGAATCCCAGAGCTTCTGGTGGGCGTGTCCTTGAGGGTCCCATCACCCAGGCCCTGACTATATTTGGGGTAAAGGGGGATTGAATACAGGGAAATGGGTGCTGTGGTGGGAAGAATAATTGTCCCCAGTGATGACTACATTCTAATCCCTGGAGTCTGTGACTATTTATGTTATAGGGGAAGGAACTGAAGGGGAAGATGGAGCTCAGGTTGTTGATGAGTTGACCTTGAGATGGGGAGACAGCCTGGACTGTCCCGCTGGGCTCAGTGTAATCACAAGGGTCCACATGAAAGGAGGAGGAAGAGGGGAGTGGGGATTAGAGCAGCGCAATGGGAGACTCCACCAGCTTTGAAGGTGGAGGAAGGCCAGGAGCCATGAATGCAGGTGGCCTGTAGAGGTTGGAAAAGTCAAGGAAATGATTCTCCAGAGTCTCCAGAGGGAACGAAGCCCTGCAGATGCCTTGATTTTAGCCCAGGAAAAACAGGGTCCTATTTCTGTCTCCAGTAGTGAAATGGGTCAGTGTGCTCTCTCCTGCTGCCATGCTTCTGATAATTTTCTACAGCAGCAACAGGAAACCAACACTGGAACCCAGGTCAAGGACAAGGTAAGAAACAACACAAGGATAGCCGGGTGTGGTGGCAGGCGCATGTAATCCTAGCGACTTGGGAGGCTGAGGGCAGGAGAATCACTTGAACCCAGGAGACAGAGGTTGCAGTGACCCTAGACCACACCACTTCACTCCAGCTGGGGTGAAGGAGTGAGACTCTGTCTCCATAATTAATTAATTAATTAAAGGAACCAAACAAGGGGAAGGTTGGCTACACCGAGATGAGCAAGTGTGGGATGATGATGCCACCACCAGGCTCCATCCACATAGGGAGGGGTTGATACTCCTCAAACCAGCACCAGGAGCCAGCCTATGGAAGCTGGCACCATGGAGAAGGCACAGGCATGGCAAGAGTGGCTCCCAGTCCCGACCAGGAACAGGGTGTGTGGACACTGGTGCCTGCCTTATTCATCAGTTCATACCTACTGCCAAGGATTCCAATTCATCCAAAAGAGATTGAACCAGGCTGATAAGAGGCTGGATGTGCAGCCTATCCTGGTTCCTCTTTCACCCCCACATAAACAGCAGGAAAGACATTAGTGTGAAATAGATACAACACCCCAAGAGATGAGGCTAAGCCCAGTGGGAAGGGAATCAGAGGCGACTAGAGACAGAGGGACAGAGAAGAGGGAGGGAGACAGATGGAAGGACCTGCACCAGGAGTTATGGGCACAGAAAAGAACATGAAGACACAGAGAGGAAGGAGAGAGACAGACACCAGCAAGGGGAAGCCTCACTCATTCTAGGTGCCATGGATGGGATGATAAAGAGAGACACCTTCTAAACTCACAACCTCTCTTCCTAGGAGTCCACAGAAAACCTTCCCTCCTGGCCCACCCAGGTCCCCTGGTGAAATCAGAAGAGACAGTCATCCTGCAATGTTGGTCAGATGTCAGGTTTCAGCACTTCCTTCTGCACAGAGAAGGGAAGTTTAACGACACTTTGCACCTCACTGGAGAGCACCATGATGGGGTTTCCAAGGCCAACTTCTCCATCGGTCCCATGATGGAAGACCTGGCAGGGACCTACAGATGCTACGGTTCTGTTACTCACTCCCCCATCAGTTGTCAGCTCCCAGTGACCCTCTGGACATCGTCATCACAGGTGAGAGTGTCCGGACATTCTTCTCATTGTCATTGGGATGCAGAGTGAATGATCCACGACTTGGAACCCCCAGGTAGTTGTAAGGAAGATGAGCTTGGTATTCTTATGGAGAGAGACTGACTTGGTGAGGTCTGTACCAACAGAGACAGAGAAACAGGAGACACAAGTACAGACCAGGTGTCATAACAGAGGACAGACACAGGGGCCATACCGGGAGTTAGAAAAGACAGAAGGAGTTAAAGGAGACAGACAGACAGACATGTCCCAGAGAGAGGTGTCCCTCCATGCTGACTTTGCTCAGAGACCTGGCACAGGTTAGAAGTTTCATTTCTGTTTTACCTCCACAAAGTGTTCTCTACCAGGAGAACCCAAGGACACCCATATTTATGACCTGAGTTGGGCCCTGTGGCCTCAGGCCTTGTGGCACCTACAGATGCCGTGTTTATTCTGACACCTCTGCCTTCCATGTAATGGAGAGTAACCGTCCCAGGATATCATGGCCCCAGAACACCAACTCCTGTATGCTGTGTGAACTTGTGGTCTCCAGACTGGATTCTGAGGCTCACATTCCAAATAACCCCACATATGAAAGGATCACTGAGAGGCACAGAGAGAAATCAGGGACACCAAAAAGCAAAGACATAAACACACAGAGAATGAGCCAGAGGAAGGAGATTGAGAGACTCACAGACACATAAAGAGAGAGAAAAGAGGGCAGAGGAGTGGTGAGAATGATGGAAGGGAGCAGAGAAAAGCACTAAAATTAGACTCCTGAGGGAGAGGCACAAGGACATAGAAAGATGGAGATGTGGGGATGAATTGCAGAGATTCCAAAGAGAACTAGAGAGACCGAGAGGCAGAGCAAGACAGATGATAGATGGATAGATATAGATAGATGATAAATAGGTAGATGATAGATAATAGGTTAAAGATACATAGATGATGATTGATTGATTCATTAATAGATGAGACATAGAGATGATGATGATGAAGACAGATAGATAATACATAGAGATAGAGAGGCAGACAGAAGTCATAGAGAGAGAGATGATACATAGATATAGATAACAGATGATTGATGGATAGATAGACAAGTGATAGATACATAGATGATATATAGATATAGATGACAGGTAGAGAATTTGTAGATAGGCACCGAATAGATAAATAGATAGATCGATAGATAATAGATAGAAATATGCAGAAAGTTATGAACAGGACACAAAGTGAGAAACTTAGAATTTAAAAAAGTAACATCAAGTCAACCAATCCAAGGAGAGTCAGAGAGAATAAAACAATCCAAAAAGGGAAAACATATCTAGAGGTGTGGAAGCGAGGTCAGAGACCTAGAGAGACAGAGAAGGTGGAAGGAGGAAATAGACATGAAGAGAGATGGGGTGGAGGGTGAGAGAGAGAGAGAGAGAGAGCATTAGGTCATAGAGCAGGGGAGTGAGTTCTCAGCTCAGGTGAAGGGAGCTGTGACAAGGAAGATCCTCCGTAAGGAAAATGCCTCTTCTCCTTCCAGGTCTATATGAGAAACCTTCTCTCTCAGCCCAGCCGGGCCCCACGGTTCTGGCAGGAGAGAGCGTGACCTTGTCCTGCAGCTCCCGGAGCTCCTATGACATGTACCATCTATCCAGGGAGGGGGAGGCCCATGAACGTAGGTTCTCTGCAGGGCCCAAGGTCAACGGAACATTCCAGGCTGACTTTCCTCTGGGCCCTGCCACCCACGGAGGAACCTACAGATGCTTCGGCTCTTTCCGTGACTCTCCCTACGAGTGGTCAAACTCGAGTGACCCACTGCTTGTTTCTGTCACAGGTGAGGAAAGCCCATGGCTGTCCCATGTCCTATGATCCTAGAGCCTTAGCTGAGGAGCTTCCTGCTGAGGATGGAGAGAAGGATGAACAGATGCAGAGAGAAGACGAAGCTTGGGTGTGAGGGAGGGATCAGGGCACAGGATGGCAGACAGGGCACCTCCAAACCCTCCTACATGGCCTGCATGAAGGCCTGCGGCCAGGACTCCAGGCACCCAGGCAGATGGAGAAAGCGGTCAGGAGAGACCCAGAGGAGGGAGACTGGGCTCAGTTTGGGAAGATCAGAGGTTCCCTCAGCCCCTCAACATTACCCATTTCCCAGAAGCCCATCCTGGCCTCCCACCCACACAGGGATGTCATCACCTGCAACCCCTACACCCTTTACTTTTGTTTGAGAAATATTTATTGAGGATAAATATACCTATATAGCTTACCACCTTTAACATTTTTTTTTTGAGGCGGAGTCTAGCTCTGTCCCCTATGCTGGAGTGCATTGGCACAATCTCAGCTCACTGCAACTTCCGCCTCCTGGGTTCAAGCGATTCTCTTGCCTCAGCCACCTGAGTAGCTGGTGCTACAGGCGCGCACCACCATGCCAGGCTACTTTTTGTATTTTTAGTAGAGAGGGGGTTTCACCATGTTGGTCAAGCTGGTCTCGAACTCCTGACCACGTGATCCACCCGCATCAGCCTCCCAAAGTGCTGGGATTACAGGCATGAGCCACCACGCCCAGCCACATTTACCATTTTTAAGTGTAAAGTCTAGTGGTCATAAATACATTAATATATATATATATACACATATTTTTTTTTACCCTCCACCCTTTTCTTCCTGGCCTCTGGTAGCCACCATTCTACTCTCTACCTTCATGAGATCCACCTTTTAGCTCCTGTATATGGGTAAGAAATGGGAATCTTTGTAATGACCTCCAGTTCCATCCATGTGGCTGCAAATATCAGGATGTTTTTCTTTCTATGGAAGAGTAGTCTCCACTATGCAAATGTACCACATTCTCTCTATCCATTCACCCACTGATGGGCAGGTAGGTTGACTCCTCATCTTGGCTACTGTGAAGAGTGCTGCACCAATCATACGAGTGCAGATATCACTTCGATATATTGATTTACTTTCCTTTGGATATAAACCCAGTAGTGAAATTGCTGGATACTATGAAAGTTCTCTTTTTAGTTTTTCGTTTGTTGTTTTGTTTTTGTTTTTGAGACAGTTTCCCTCTGTGCCCAGGCTGGAGTACAAGTGATGTCATCTTGGCTCATTGCAACCTCTGCCTCCTGGGTTCAAATGATTTTCCTGCCTCAGCCTCCCTAGTATCAGGGATTATAGGCGCACGCCACCATGCCTGGCTACTTTTTGTTTTTTTTAGTATAGATGCGGTTTCCCCATGTTGGCTGGGCTGCTCTCAAACTCATGACCTCAACTGAGGTGCCCGCCTCGGTCTCCCAAAGTGCCGGGATTACAGGCATGATCCACCTCACCCAACCTCTTTTTAGTTCTTTAAAGGACTTCCACACTTTTCTCCGTAATGGCTGTACTAATTTACACTCCTACCAACAGGATACCAGGATTCTCCTTTCTCTAACACCTTGCCAGCATTTCTTTTGCCTGTCTTGCAGCTAAAAGCCATTTTATTTTATTTCATTTTATTTTGAGATGGAGTTTCACTCTTGTCACCCAGGCTGAGTGCAGTGGTGCGATCTCGGCTCACCACAACCTCCACCTCCCAGGTTCAAGCGATTCTCCTGCCTCAGCCTCCCGAGTAGCTGGAATTACAGGCACACGCCACCACGCCCGACTAATTTTTGTATTTTTAGTAGAGACAGTGTTTCTCCATGTGGGTCAGACTGGTCTCAAACTCCCGACCTTATGAGATTCACCCACCTCAGGCTCTCAAAGTTCTAGGATGACAGACGTGAGCCACCACGCCCGGCCTAAAAGCCATTTTAATGGGGTGAGATGAAAACTCACTTTGATTTTAATTTGTGTTTCTCTGATGATGAGTGATACTGAGCACTTTTTCGTATGTGGGGAAATTTCATGTCTTTTGCTCCTGTTTCAATTAAATCATTTGTTTTATTGAGTTGTTTGAGCTTCTTATATTTCTAGTTATTAATCCCATCTCAGATGCATAGTTTGCACATATTTGCTCCCAATCTGTGGGTTGTCTCTTCACTTTGTTGGTTTATTTTTAGCGGTGCAGAAGTTGCTTAGTTTGAGGTAATCCCAATGGTCTATTTTTGCTTCGATTACTTGTGTTTTGAAGGTTTAAAACAAAATGTCTTCCTTCAGACAAACGTCCTGGAGCATTTCCCCAATATTTTCTTCTACGTGTTTCATAGGTTCAGGCCTTAGACTCACATCTTTAATCCATTTTCATTTGATTTTTGTGTATAGTGACAGGCAGAGGTGCAGTTTCATTCCTCTGCATGTCGATGTCCAGGTTTCCCTGCACTGTTTATTGAAAAGACTGTCCTTTCCTGATTGTGAGTTCTTGGCACCTTTGTCAAAGTCCATTGGATGGGCTGGGCATGGTGGCTGACACCTGCAATTTCAGCACTTTGGGAGCCCGAGGTGGGTGGATCACCTGAGGCCAAGAGTTCAAGATTAGTCTGGCCAACGTGATGAAACATCGTCTCCACTAAAAATATAAAAATTAGCTGAGCATGGTGGTCAGCACCTGTAATACCACTACTCAGGAGTTTGAGGCAAGAGAAGTGATTGAACCCAGGAGGCTGTGGTGGCAGTGAACCGAGATTGCACCTCTGCACTCCAGCCTGGGTGACAGAGCAAGACTCCATCTCAAAAGAAAAACAAAAAATACATTGGAGGTAAATGCATGGATTATATCTGTGTTATTCATTCTGCTCCGTTGTTCTATGTGCCTTTCTTCATGCCAACGTCATGCTGTCTTGCTTACTACAGCTCTGTAACATATTTTGAGATCAGGTAGTGTGATGCTCCTGTTTTCTCTTTATACCTTGAAGTCTCAAGACAGTAGCCGTCACATACAAAAATTACGGAAAAAAGGATCCCAGGACTCCCAGGGCCCAATATTAGATAACAGAGTGTTGGCCATGAACCAACCTCAAAGATTTCCACTGAGTAGAGGACAGACACCCTCATTTCCTCACCTCTCTCCTGTCTCATGTTCTAGGAAACCCTTCAAATAGTTGGCCTTCACCCACTGAACCAAGCTCCAAAACCGGTGAGTACAGAACCCTCTTATATCCGCTTTTGGAAACCTGGGGAGGTGGAAACCTTGGATTCAGGCGTTGACTCAGCATCTCACAGCTCTGACATTGTACGCCTGTCTTCTACCATCTCCAAACTCCAGATACTCCAACAGCGAAAGGGATCTGGACCCAAAACAGGGCTCTGTGAAATCTCTTAATCTCTCATTTTATGGAGCTGAGATCTCCTACAAGCTAGAAAAATGATTGGCAATCTGACATCCTTCTCAGGAAAAATGCAATGTTTGTTCTGCCTGCATTCCTAACTGGAGGATAAATTCCTGGGGGCTTGAGAGAGGGAAGGGTAGGGAACATTTGATGAGGGCGAGGTGTTTTAGAGAAGTTCCACTTGCCCAGGAATGAATTACTGTTGGTCATGAAGCAACCCTGGCTGACTCAGCAGAGCAAGAGCTTTGCCTTAACAGAGAACGGAGCTCATGCACGCACACTTCGACTCACTGACTCATTCAGCCACGGCCCCATGCTCAGGCCGTGGAAAAGGCAATTCCCAGCACTGCAGGAGGCCAAGGCGGGTGGATCACTTGAAGTCAGGAGTTCCAGACCAGCCTGGCCAAAATGGTGAAACCCTGTCTCTATGAAAAATACAAAAATTAGCCGAGCATGGTGGTGCATCCCTGTAATCCCAGCTCCTACTCTTGAGGATGAAGCAGGAGAACGACTTCAACCCAGGAGGTGGAGGTTGCAGTGAGTGGAGATTGCATCACTGCACTCCAGCCTGGGTGACACAAGGAGACTCCGTCTCAAAAAATAAAAATAAGAAATGCATAAATATAATAAAACACACACGAATGACAAAGGCACCTGAATTCCAATCATCATTTTTGTATTTCTCTATAATTACTTCTTTGATCCTTTGTCTTATCCATTAGGCAATGAGCCTAAAACCTCTTCCGTATTTGGCTTTCTGTGAGCATGAGACCATATAGAAAATGTGAAAGCCCGCTGAATCCTCCAGCACAGATCGTGGAATAGAGAAAGTGCTCTGTTCATCACAAAAAAAACTTGCCCTCTCACTCAAATCCCCCACTTCACCCCTACTTCCAATCACCTGTGGAGATTCAGATAGACCATGGGGAGGTAAACATTAATACTCCTTGGAGTGAGTCCAGATCTTGGAATGAGAGATCAGCACCAGCACTAGCTCCTGCTCCCCTTTCCTACTAATTCACAGGAGGACAGGTGGTATTGAAGCAATAGATGGTGGAGGGGGTGGTCCTTCCCCCAGCCTCTCAGGTAGAACAGCAGCCTAACATGTGTCTCCCGAGATCACAAAGAGTAGGACGTTTCACAGGGGCTTCAACACGATTTCCTGGCTGTTGGACATAAGATAACTCTATTTCGCTTTTTTATCTTGATTTCACTTTTGTTTCCTTTCCTTGGAGAACGCAAGTTGTTTGACTCAAGAATGCTGTGGATGTAGAAATCCTAAAGCACATTCGCTGTGTGTCAATCCCAGTGCAGTCTTCCCAGAAAAGACCCTAAACACCTCCTAGACTGCACCTGGGCCTACGCCAATTCCTATCACTCACCGTCACTCCAGGGAGACAGAACACACAGAGAATACGTTACATAGGCAGGTTCATTACTAACAGATAAGCAGCGAGTGAAAACAGAAGCCTACATTTCAATGTGAGCCAGTCCCTCAAGGCTCAGAAAAGCTGCTCGGGACATATGGAGTCACCCCATTTGCAGTGTAGCTGGGGGAAGCCAGAAAGCAGCCCAGCCTGGGTTTTGTACCCTGGAGCCACAGGAAGCACTCAGCTAAAGCACTGCATGACGTCCTCCTCCAGGAAGAACAGGAAGACAGCCCAGGCTGCTCTGGGACGTTCCTCCTGATCTCAGGACGTTGCTGTCTTAGTCCATTTTTGTTGCTCTAAAGGAACACTTGAGCCTGGGCAACTTCTAAAGAAAAGAGATTGGTTTGCCTCACCGTTCTGCAGGCTGTACTGGAAGCATGGCACCAGCATCTATTTCTCGTGATGGCCTCAGGCTGCTCCCACTCTGGCAGAAGGGAAGGAGGGTCTGTCTGTGCAGAGACCACAGAGATCACACGGCAAGAGAGGGAGCAAGGGGGAGGGGGAGCGATGGAGCTTCCAAGTTCTTTTGAACAACCAGCTCTCCAGGAACTAATAGAGGGGGAACTAGCTAACCCCGTCTCCTTGGGACAGCATTGATCTGTTCATGATGGATCCACCTCCATGACCCAAACACCTCTCAAGAGGCCCAACCTCCCACAATGGGGGTGAAATTTCAATGTGAGGTTTGAAGGGGTCAAACATCTCAACTAAAGTAGTTGTGTCCTCAGCACATTCTATGGTTACTTTGAGAGCTATAACTGAGAAAGCAGGAGAAAGCTGGGTCTCCCGCCATCTGGGTGCTTGTCCTAAAGAGGTGTTTTACGTGGTTACCTGTCAATCAAGAAATGCGAGACAATTCATAAAGAGGAACTGCTATGATTAGCTTCTTATTGGTGTCTCATCTTCTTCCAGGTAACCCAAGACACCTGCACGTTCTGATTGGGACCTCAGTGGTCATCATCCTCTTCATCCTCCTCCTCTTCTTTCTCCTTCATCGCTGGTGCTCCAACAAGAAAAGTAAGTCTCACGAAGGAGAGGCCAGAGAGCTCAGGGCCATGTGGGGAAGCAGGATGGGAGCACTCAGGTGTGTGTTCCTCACAGGTAGGATGGTCCCTGGCCCAAGGCAGCAGCCACAGAGGCAGGACTTTCTAGAGAGGGCACCAGACTCCCTGTCCCTGCTTTCAGCTCACAGACCGTTGCCTGATTCTGAACTGTATCCTCATGTCCCCTGCAGCCACTCACATCCAGGAGAAGGTTCCATGACAGGCAGAAAGTGGGAGACAGAATCAATGGGATGGGAACTCAGAGCTATTCATGGGATGGGTCCTTGAGCTCAGAGAGATAGAATGTCTGAGTCTGCTGTTGGCAACTGAGGGACCTCAGGCACCTATGGCCTCCCCCTGTTTGTTGGTATCTGCTTATGAAATGAGGACCCAGAAGTGCCCTCCGAGCTCTTTTGTTGACTTCCGTCTCCTACACATGCTGCTGTAATGGACCAAGAGCCTGCAGGGAACAGAACAGCGAATAGCGAGGTAGGTGCTCCTCGGCCCAGCCTCGTGGCTAGTGTTATTCCCAAACAGTCCTGGAAAACGTGAGCACCCTCCCTCACTCAGGATTTCCCTCTCTCCAGGACTCTGATGAACAAGACCCTCAGGAGGTGACATACGTACAGTTGGATCACTGCGTTTTCACACAGAGAAAAATCACTCGCCCTTCTCAGAGGCCCAAGACACCCCCAACAGATACCAGAGTGTACACGGAACTTCCAAATGCTGAGTCCAGATCCAAAGTTGTCTCCTGCCCATGAGCACCACAGTCAGGCCTTGAGGGGATCTTCTAGGGAGACAACAGCCCTGTCTCAAAACCGGGTTGCCAGCTCCCATGTACCAGCAGCTGGAATCTGAAGGCGTGAGTCTGCATCTTAGGGCATCGCTCTTCCTCACACCACAAATCTGAATGTGCCTCTCTCTTGCTTACAAATGTCTAAGGTCCCCACTGCCTGCTGGAGAGAAAACACACTCCTTTGCTTAGCCCACAATTCTCCATTTCACTTGACCCCTGCCCACCTCTCCAACCTTACTGGCTTACTTCCTAGTCTACTTGAGGCTGCAATCACACTGAGGAACTCACAGTTCCAAACATACAAGAGGCTCCCTCTTAACACGGCACTTAGACACGTCCTGTTCCACCTTCCCTCATGCTGTTCCACCTCCCCTCAGAGTATCTTTCAGCCTTCTGTCAGCAGTAAAACTTATATATTTTTTAAAATAATTTCAATGTAGTTTTCCCTCCTTCAAATAAACATGTCTGCCCTCATGGTTTCGGTAATGGGACTCTTTTCTTGCCTAAGACTTCCATTATCATTACCATGTCCACATAACCCCATCTGTTCTCCACTGGGTTCTCACCCCCGGACTCTGAGTTTCTGGAAGCAGGGTGGAGCCTCATTTGTCTCTGGGACTCCTATTTCCATCCAAAGATGTAGCACATAGGAGGTTCCAAGGATCGTGAATCACATGAACAAGTGATATTCTTACTCTCTGCAGACCTGGAAATCTGGCAGAGTCATTCCAAGATGAAACATTTGTAGAATCATAGGCCTTGTTAGTCTCATCTACACAGGGACACATATCAACACATCATCTTTCACACTATAAATATACAGTCACTCCTCCATATCTGTGGGGTTTACAGTTCTTTATTGAACCGAGTATAAATCAAAAATATTCAGAGAAAGTATCCACAGAGTTACAAAAAGCAGAACTGTGTTGAATGGACACAAATGAAGCTGTGTGTAGGCTGCATCAGGAATTATAAGTAATCTAGAGATGATTTCATGTATACAGGAGGATGTGCATAGGTTATTTGCAAACTCTGTGCCATTTCATATAAGAGGCTTGAGCATCTACAGATTTTGGTATCTGAGTGGAGATCTCGAAACCAATCACCCACGAATAGTGAAGGATGACCGTATATGACTTTTATTTCTCAAATTTAAATATAAATCATAAAAAATGTACAACTAGATAAAAACTAAGAAGTGTTTTTATAGTGTGAGTTAGATTTATTTTTTCCTAGGTATAACCCATTGGTTTAATATTATTTATTGAGAAGACATTCTATGCCACCTTAAACCACACGGCAGCCTTTGTCAACTCTAAAGGGACTGTGTGTACACGGATGTACTTTAGACACTGTTTCTGCTAAGGGGCTCTCTGTGTCCACACTCTTGATGATGCTGCACTTTATGTAGCCTTATAGAACCCTTTAAATTTAGTAGCCAGAGCTCTCTAATTTGTTATTATAGGCTATTTGCTTTTTTTTCTTGAGGCGGAGTCTTGCTCTGTCGCCCAGGCTGGACTGCAGTGACACAATCTCAGCTCACTGCAACTTCTGCCTCCCAGGTTCAAGCGATTCTCATGCCTCAGCCTCTTGAGTAGCTGGCGTTACAGGTGCCTGCCACCAGGCACGGCTAATTTTTGGATTTTTAGCAGAGACACGGTTTCACTATATTGGCCAGGCTGCTCTCAAACTCCTTATCTCAGTTGATCCGCCCACCTCGGCTTCCCAACGTGCTGGGGAAACTTGATTTTCTATAGCATTATGTTACTGGATATTTCTGTAAAATTTAAAATGAGGGAGGGAGAGAGACAGACGGAAAACAAACTCCAGAGTTGGGACTCTGGAATCTTGGGTCATGAGACAAATTTTAGATTAAACTACAAAACTCCAGAATTTACAGGTGGGGTTTTTACTGATAAAGTACAATTCTAAGATTGTAAATAATTGCATAATCCTTCCCTGGGAATTTAAATCATTTTAACTGGTTCTGCTGTAATACTAGAAATACAAGCATGAAAAATTCTAATGGTTTATTAGTGACAATGACTCTGAAAACATTAATAATACCTATTAGATATTTTGCATATTACACAGGAAGAAGAGTTTGAATCTCAGATAAAAACAATAGAAATACATGAAAAGTCTTTCATGTTAGCACAGATTTTAGGCATCTCGTGTTCGGGAGGTTGGATCTCAGACGTGTTTTGAGTTGGTCATAGTGAAGGACACTAGGTGTCAAATTCTAGCGAGAACAATTTCCAGGAAGCCGTGTTCCGCTCTTGAGCGAGCACCCACTGGGCCTCATGCAAGGTAGAAAGAGCCTGCGTACGTCACCCTCCCATGATGTGGTCAACATGTAAACTGCATGGGCAGGGCGCCAAATAACATCCTGTGCGCTGCTGAGCTGAGCTCGGTCGCGGCTGCCTGTCTGCTCCGGCAGCACCATGTCGCTCTTGGTCGTCAGCATGGCGTGTGTTGGTGAGTCCTGGAAAGCAATAGAGGGAGGGAGTGAGGGGATGGAGATCTGGGCCCAGAGGTGGAGATATAGGCCTGGAGGTGGAGTTATGGGCCTGGAGTGGAGATCTGGGCCTGGAGTGGATATATGGGCCTAGAGATGGAGTGATGGGCCTAGAAGTGGAGATCTGGGCCCAGAGGTCGAGATATAGGCCTGGAGGTGGAGTGATGGGACTGTAGTGGAGATCTGGGCCTGGAGTGGAGATAGGAACCTGGAGGGGAGATAGGAACCTGGAGGGGAGATATGGGCCTGGAGGTGGAGATATGGGCCTGGAGTGGAGTCATGGGCCTGGAGGTGGAGTTATGGGCCTGCAGTAGAGATATGGGCCTGAAGTGGAGACATGGGCCTGGAGTGGAGATATGGGCCAGGAGTGGAGATATGGGCCTAGAGGTCGATATCTGGGCCTGGAGTGGAGATATGGGCCAGGAGTGGAGATATGGGCCTAGAGGTCGATATCTGGGCCTGGAGAGGAGATATGTGCCTAGGATGGAGATACGGGCCTGGGTGTGGAGATATGGGACTGGAGAGGATATATGGGCCTGGAGTGGAGATATGGGACTGGAGAGGAGATATGGACCTGGAGTGGAGATAAGGGCCTGGATTGGAGATATGGGCCCAGGGTGGAGATCTGAGCCTGGATTGGAGATATGGGCCTGGATTGGCGATATGGGCTTAGGGTGGAAATATCGGCCTGGAGTGGAGATATGGGCCTGGAGTGGAGATATGGGCTTGAGGTGGGGATATGGACCTGGAGGCTGGGTCTCTGCACAGCCGACAGCCCTGTTCTTGGGTGCAGGTAGGCACTGAGGGTGAGTTTACCTTCAGCCCAGGAAGGGCCTGGCTACCAAGACTCACAGCCCAGTGGGGGCAGCAAGGGTGCCCTGGTTTGCCTGCAGATGGGTCATCCATCATGATCTTTCTTTCCAGGGTTCTTCTTGCTGCAGGGGGCCTGGCCACATGAGGGTGAGTCCTTCTCCCAACCTTCGGGTGTCATCTCCCCACATAAGAGGATTTTCCTGAAATGGGAGGGAAGTCCTGTCAGGGAGTCTCTCATAAACTAGGAAGAAGGGACCCTGGGGTGCTGGGCCCACATTTCTGACCTTGCCTCCCTGGCCTTTCATTCCCTTGGCAGAGTCAAGTTCTGTGGGGACCAGGGTTAGACTACGGTGCTCAAAGCTGGGGTGTGTGGTGGGGAAGTGGTAGGAACAGCAGATCCTCTGAGGACAAAGGTGTTACTCACACACTTCAGCGTTTCCATGACGGTAGGGGCTGCAGTGTGGCTGCTGTCATTCTACCAGAAGAGGTGGGAAAACCACAGCCATGGCCCTGACATTCCAATCCTCTGATGGGGACTCAGTTGTTTATTTTCGTTCAGGCATCGGCTGATATTCCATTCTCAAAGGACATGCCCTCCACCCCATGTCTACCCTGTGTTGTTTTATGTGAGTAATCTTACAGTATTAAAATCTAGTAGGAGTCTCTTACTCAGCACTTGCTCAAAGTTCTCAGCTGACACTTTTGTTGTAGGGAGACACCTTGTGTTTGCGGGATGGGTCCTTCCTTTAGCCCTGGGCACCAAGGTGTGATAGCAGCCATAGAAACTTGGAAAGCGAGGAGAATCTTCAGAGCACAGGGAGGGAGGGGCGGCTCCACATCCTCCTCTCTAAGGCGGTGCCTCCTTCTCCCCACGGTGGTCAGGACAAGCCCTTGCTGTCTGCCTGGCCAAGCCCTGTGGTGCCTCCAGGACATGTGATTCTTCAGTGTCATTCTTATCTTGGGTTTAACAACTTCAGTCTGTAAAAGGAAGATGGGGTGCCTGTCCCTGAGCTCTACAACATAATATTCTGGAACAGCCTTTTCATGGGCCCTGTGACCCCAGCACACGCAGGGACCTATACATGTCGGGGTTCACAACCACACTACCCCAGTGGGTGGTCGGCACCCAGCAACCCCCTGGAGATCACGGTCACAGGTCAGAGGGCTCCTGTCTGGGATTCTCCTTGTCCCACCTCCTGAATCCCAGAGCTCCTGGTGGGCGTGTCCTTGCGGGTCCCATCATGCAAGTCCTGACTGTATTTGGGGTAAAGGGGGATTGAATACAGGGAAATGGGTGCTGTGGTGGGAAGAATAATTGTCCCCAGTGATGACTACATTCTAATCCCTGGAGTCTGTGACTATTTATGATATAGGGGAAGGGACTGAAGGAGAAGATGGAGCTCAGGTTGTTGATGAGTTGACCTTGAGATGGGGAGACAGCCTGGACTGTCCTGATGGGCTCAGTGTAGTCACAGGGGTCCACATGAAAGGAGGAGGAAGAGGGGAGTGGGGATTACAGCAGCATAATGGGAGTCTCCATCAGCTTTGAAGGTGGAGGAAGTCCAGGAGCCATGAATGCAGGTGGCCTATAGAGGCTGGAAAAGTCAAGGAACTGATTCTCCTGAGTCTCCAGAGGGAACGAAGCCCTGCAGGTGCCTTGATTTTACCCACGACAAACAGGGTCCGATTTCTGTCTCCAGAATTGGAAGGGGTTAGTGTGCTCTCTCCTGGTGCCATGCTTCTGATAATTTTCTACAGCAGCAACAGGAAACCAACACTGGAACCCAGGTCAAGGACAAGTTAAGAAACAACACAAGGATAGCCAGGCATGGTGGCAGGTGCATGTAATCCTAGCGACTTGGGAGGCTGAGGGCAGGAGAATCACTTGAACCCAGGAGACAGAGGTTGCAGTGAGCCTAGACCACACCACTTCACTCCAGCCTGGGCAAAGGAGTGAGACTCTGTCGCCAAAATTAATTAATTAATTAAAGAAACCAAACAAGGAGAAGGTTGGCTACACTGAGATCAGCAAGGCTCAGATGATGATGCCACCACCAGGCTCCATCCACATAGGGAGGGGTTGATACTCCTCCAACCAGCACCAGGAGCCAGCCTATGGAAGCTGGCACTGGCATGGCAAGAGTGGCTCCCAGTCCCTACCAGGAACAGGGTGTGTGGCCACTGGTGCCTGCCTTACTGATCAGTTCATACCTCCTGCCAAGGATTACAATTCGTCCAAAAGAGATTGAACCAGGCTGCTAAGAGCCTGGATGTGCAGCCTATCCTGGTTCCTCTTCCACCCCCACATAGACAGCAGGAAAGACATTAGTTCGAAATAGATACAACAGCCCAAGAGATGAGGCTGAGCCCAGCGGCAAGGGAATCAGAGGCTACTAGAGACAGAGGGACAGAGAAGAGTGAGGGAGACAGATGGAAGGACCTGCACCAGGAGTTATGGGCACAGAAAAGAACATGAAGACACAGAGAGGAAGGAGAGAGATAAGACACCAGGAAGGGGAAGCCTGACTCAATCCAGGTGCCATGGATGGGATGATAAAGAGAGACACCTTCTAAACTCACAACCTCTCTTCCTAGGAGTCCACAGAAAACCTTCCCTCCTGGCCCACCCAGGTCGCCTGGTGAAATCAGAAGAGACAGTCATCCTGCAGTGTTGGTCAGATGTCATGTTTGAACACTTCCTTCTGCACAGAGAGGGGATGTTTAACGACACTTTGCGCCTCATTGGAGAACACCATGATGGGGTCTCCAAGGCCAACTTCTCCATCAGTCGCATGACGCAAGACCTGGCAGGGACCTACAGATGCTACGGTTCTGTTACTCACTCCCCCTATCAGGTGTCAGCTCCCAGTGACCCTCTGGACATCGTGATCATAGGTGAGAGTGTCCAGACTTTCTTCTCATTGTCATTGGGATGCAGAGTGAATGATCCAGGAATTGGAGACCCAGGTGGCTGTAAGGAAGATGAGCTTGGTATTCTTATGGAGAGAGACTGACTTGGTGAGGTCTGTGCCAACAGAGACAGAGAAACAGGAGACACAAGTAGAGACCAGGTGTCATAACAGAGAACAGACACAGGGGCCATACCGGGAGTTAGAAAAGACAGAAAGAGTTAAAGGAGACACACAGACAGACATGTCCCAGAGAGAGGTGTCCCTCCATGCTGACTTTGCTCAGAGACCTGGCACAGGTTAGAAGTTTCATTTCTGTTTTACCTCCACAAAGTGTTCTCTACCAGGAGAACCCAAGGACACCCATATTTCTGACCTGAGTTGGGCCCTGTGGCCTCAGGCCTTGTGGCACCTACAGATGCCATGTTTATTCTGACACCTCTGCCTTCCATGTAATGGAGAGTAATCGTCCCAGGATATCATGGCCCCACAACACCAACCCCTGTATGCTGTGTGAACTTGTAGTCTCCAGACTGGATTCTGAGGCTCATATTCCAAATAAGCCCACTTATGAGAGGATCAGTGAGAGGCACAGAGAGAAATCAGGGACACCAAAAAGCAAAGACATAAACACACAGAGAATGAGCCAGAGGAAGGAGATTGAGAGACTCACAGACACATAAAGAGAGAGAAAAGAGGGCAGAGGAGTGGTGAGAATGATGGAAGGGAGCAGAGAAAAGCACTAAAATTAGACTCCTGAGGGAGAGGCACAAGGACATTGAAAGATGGAGATGTGGGGATGAATTGCAGAGATTCCAAAGAGAACTAGAGAGACCGAGAGGCAGAGCAAGACAGATGATAGATGGATAGATATAGATAGATGATAAATAGGTAGATGATAGATAATAGGTTATAGATACATAGATGATGATTGATTGATTCATTAATAGATGAGACATAGAGATGATGATGATGAAGACAGATAGATAGATAATACATAGAGATACAGAGGCAGACATAGAGAAATCATAGAGAGAGAGAGATGATACATAGATATAGATAATAGATGATTGATGGATAGATAGACAATTGATGGATAAATAGATGATATATAGATATAGATGACAGGTAGAGAATTTGTAGATAGGCACCGAATAGATAAATAGATAGATCGATAGATAATAGATAGAAATATGCAGAAAGTTATGAACAGGACACAAAGTGAGAAACTCAGAATTAAAAAAAGTAACATCAAGTCAACCAATCCAAGGAGAGTCAGAGAGAATAAAACAATCCAAAAAGAGAAAACATATCTAGAGGTGGGGAAGTGAGGTCAGAGACCTAGAGAGACAGAGAAGGTGGAAGGAGGAAATAGACATGAAGAGCGATGGGGTAGAGGGTGAGAGAGAGAGAGAGAGAGCATTAGGTCATAGAACAGGGGAGTGAGTTCTCAGCTCAGGTGAAGGGAGCTGTGACAAAGAAGATCCTCCCTGAGGAAACTGCCTCTTCTCCTTCCAGGTCTATATGAGAAACCTTCTCTCTCAGCCCAGCTGGGCCCCACGGTTCTGGCAGGAGAGAATGTGACCTTGTCCTGCAGCTCCCGGAGCTCCTATGACATGTACCATCTATCCAGGGAAGGGGAGGCCCATGAACGTAGGCTCCCTGCAGGGCCCAAGGTCAACGGAACATTCCAGGCTGACTTTCCTCTGGGCCCTGCCACCCACGGAGGGACCTACAGATGCTTCGGCTCTTTCCATGACTCTCCATACGAGTGGTCAAAGTCAAGTGACCCACTGCTTGTTTCTGTCACAGGTGAGGAAAGCCCATGGCTGTCCCATGTCCTATGATCCTAGAGCCTTAGCTGAGGAGCTTCCTGCTGAGGATGGAGAGAAGCATGGACAGATGCAGAGAGAAGACGCAGCCTCGGTGTGAGGGAGGGATCAGGGCACAGGATGGCCGACAGGGCACCTCCAAACCCTCCTACATGGCCTGCATGGAGGCCCACGGCCAGGGCTCCAGGCACCCAGGCAGATGGAGAAAGCGGTCAGGAGAGACCCAGAGGAGGGAGACTGGGCTCAGTTTGGGGAGATCAGAGGTTCCCTCAGCCCCTCAACCTTACCCATTTCCCAGAAGCCCATCCTGGCCTCTCACCCACACAGAGATGTCATCACCAGCAACCCCTACACCCTTTACTTTTCTTTGAAGAAATATTTATTGAGGATAAATATACCTATATAGCTTACCACTTTTAACATTTTTTTTTGAGGTGGAGTCTAGCTCTGTCCCCTATGATGGAGTGCAGTGGCACAATCTCAGCTCACTGCAACCTCCGCCTCCTGGGTTCAAGCGATTCTCCTGCCTCAGCCACCTGAGTAGCTAGTGCTACAGGCACGCACCACCACGCCAGGCTACTTTTTGTATTTTTAGTAGAGAGGTGGTTTCACCATGTTGGTCGAGCTGGTCTCGAACTCCTGACCACGTGATCCACCCGCATCAGCCTCCCAAAGTGCTGGGATTACAGGCATGGGCCACCAGGCCCAGCCACATTTACCATTTTTAAGTGTAAAGTCTAGTGGTCATAAATACATTTTTATATATATATATATATACATTTTTTTTACCCTCCACCCTTTTCTTCCTGTCCTCCAGTAGCCACCATTCTACTCTCTACCTTCATGAGATCCACCTTTTAGCTCCTGTATATGGGTGAGAAATGGGAATCTTTTTAATGACCTCCAGTTCCATCCATGTGGCTGCAAATGACAGGATGTTATTCTTTCTATGGATGAGTAGTCTCCACTGTGCGTATGTACTACATTCTCTCTATCCATTCACCCACTGATGGGCAGGTAGGTTGACTCCTCATCTTGGCTACTGTGAACAGTGCTGCACCAATCATACGAGTGCAGATATCACTTCGATATGTTGATTTACTTTCCTTTGGATATAAACCCAGTAGTGAAATTGCTGGATACTATGAAAGTTCTCTTTTTTTTTTTTTTTTCTTTTTTGAGAAAGAGTTTCCCTCCTTAGCCCAAGCTGGAGTCAAAGTGGTGCAACCTTGGCTCATTGCAACCTCCGCCTCCTGGGTTCAAATGATTTTCCTGCCTCAGCCTCCCTAGTAGCTGGGATTACAGGTGCACACCACCATGCCTGGCTACTTTTTGGTTTTTTTAGTATAGATGCGGTTTCCCCATGTTGGCTGGGCTGCTCTCAAACTCATGACCTCAACTGAGGTGCCCGCCTCAGTCTCCCAAAGTGCCGGGATTACAGGCATGATCCACCTCACCCAACCTCTTTTTAGTTCTTTAAAGGACTTCCATACTTTTCTCCGTAATGGCTGTACTAATTTACACTCCTCCCAACAGGGTACCAGGGTTCTCCTTTCTCTACCACCTTGCCAGCATTTCTTTTGCCTGTCTTGCAGCTAAAAGCCATTTTATTTTATTTCATTTTATTTTGAGATGGAGTTTTGCTCTTCTCACCCAGGCTGGAGTGCAGTGGCGCTATCTCGGCTCACCACAACCTCCACCTCCCAGGTTCAAGCGATTCTCCTGCCTCAGCCTCCCGAGTAGCTGGAATTACAGGCACACGCCACCACGCCCTACTAATTTTTGTATTTTTAGTAGAGACAGCGTTTCTCTATGTGGGTCAGACTGGTCTCAAACTCCCAACCTTATGAGATTCACCCACCTCAGGTTCTCAAAGTTCTAGGATGACACAAGTGAGCCACCTCACCCGGCCTAAAAGCCATTTTAATGGGGTGAGATGAAAACTCACTTTGATTTTAATTTGCGTTTCTCTGATGATGAGTGATACTGAGCACTTTTTCGTATGTGGGGAAATTTCATGTCTTTTGCTCCTTTTTCAATTAAATCATTTGTTTTATTGAGTTGTTTGAGCTTCTTATATTTCTAGTTATTAATCCCATCTCAGATGCATAGTTTGCACATATTTGCTCCCAATCTGTGGGTTGTCTCTTCACTTTGTTGGTTTATTTTTAGCAGTGCTGAAGTTGCTTAGTTTGAGGTAATCCCAATGGTCTATTTTTGCTTCGATTACTTGTGTTTTGAAGGTTTAAAACAAAATGTCTTCCTTCAGACAAACGTCCTGGAGCATTTCCCCAATATTTTGTTCTACGTGTTTCATAGGTTCAGGCCTTAGACTCACATCTTTAATCCATTTTCATTTGATTTTTGTGTATGGTGACAGGTAGAGTTGCAGTTTCATTCCTCTGCATGTAGATGTCCAGGTTTCCCTGCACTGTTTATTGAAAAGACTGTCCTTTCCTGATTGTGAGTTCTTGGCATCTTTGTCAAAGTCCATTGGATGGGCTGGGCTTGGTGGCTAACACCTGCAATTTCAGCACTTTGGGAGCCCGAGGTGGGTGGATCACCTGAGGCCAGGAGTTCAAGATTAGTCTGGCCAACGTGATGAAACATCGTCTCCACTAAAAATATAAAAATTAGCTGAGCATGGTGGTCAGCACCTGTAATACCACTACTCAGGAATTTGAGGCAAGAGAATGATTGAACCCAGGAGGCTGAGGTTGCAGTGAACCGAGATTGCACCTCTGCACTCCAGCCTGAGTGACAGAGCAAGACTCCATCTCAAAAGAAAAAATAAAAAACCATTGGATGTAAATGCATGGAATATATCTGTGTTATTCATTCTGCTCCGTTGTTCTATGTGCCTTTCTTTATGCCAATGTCATGCTATTTTGCTTACTACAGCTCTGTAACATATTTTGAGATCAGGTAGTGTGATGCTCCTGTTTTCTCTTTATATCTTGAAGTCTCAAGACAGTGGGTGTCATATAAAAAAATTATGGAAAAAAGGATCCCAGGACTCCCAGGGCTCAATATTAGATAAGAGAGTGTTGGCCATGAACCATCCTCAAAGATTTCCACTGAGTGGAGGACAGACACCCTCATTTCCTCACCTCTCTCCTGTCTCATGTTCTAGGAAACCCTTCAAATAGTTGGCCTTCACCCACTGAACCAAGCTCCAAAACCGGTGAGTACAGAACCCTCTTATATCCGCTTTTGGAACCCTGGGGAGGTGGGAACCTTGGATTCAGGCGTTGACTCAGCATCTCACAGCTCTGACATTGTACACTTGTCTTCCACCATCTCCGAACTCCAGATACTCCTACAGCGAAAGGGATCTGGGCCCAACACAGGGCTCAGTGAAATCTCTTCATCTCTCATTTTATGGAGCTGAGACCTCCTACAAGCTAGAAGAATGATTGCCAATCTGACATCCTTCTCAGGAAAAATGCAATGTTTGTTCTACCTGCATTCCTAACTGGAGGATAAATTCCTGGAGACTTGAGAGAGGGAAGGGAAGGGAACATCTGATGAGGGCAAGGTGTTTTAGAGAAGTTCCACTTGCCAAGGAATGAGCTCCTGTAGGTCATGAAGCAACCCTGGCTGACTCCGCAGAGAAAGAGCCTTGCCGTAACAGAGAACAGAGCTCATGCACGCACACTTCGACTCACTGACTCATTCAGCCACGGCCCCATGCTCAGGCTGTGCAGTGTGGAACCTTTTCCTATTGTTGCCATAACAAATTTCCACAAGATTCGTGGGTGAAAACAAAACGGTTTTTTAATTATCTTACAGTGCTGTAGCTCAAAGTAGGAAGTGCATCTTACTGGGCTAAAATCAAGGTGACAGCAAGGCTGCCTTCCCTCTGAGGATTCCAGGCACGAATCTGCTTCTCACTTGTCCCAGCTTCTAAAGGCTCCCAGTTCCTTGGCTCCTGGTCCCCTTCCTCCTTCCTCAAAGCCCACAAAGACTGGTCACATCTCACATGGCATCACTCAGTGCCTTCTTCCTTACCACACCTCTTTCTCTGAGTGCTGCTCTCCCTTCTTCCTCATCTTTTGAAAACTTGGGGATTCTATTGGGTTCACCAAGATGAAAATCCCTCATAATCTCCTGGAAATCATCCAGGATACCCTTGTTTTAAGTTCAGCTGATTAGCAACCATAATTCCATCTGCAATCTTCATTCCTCCTTTCCATGTAAAATAACATATTCACAAGCTATGGAGGCTAGGACAGGGACATTTTGGGGTGGGACAGCATTCTCCTGCCTTCCACAAACAGTGAACAAGATGCATTTGGCCTCTGCCCTTGGGACACTGATATTGCAGATGGTTAAATGGGAGGGCAGAAAATGAACGCACAAGTGGATCTATAAATGAATGGTCCATTGGGAAGCATCTGTGCATGAAATCTATTTTTTGTTTGTTCTTTTGTTTATTGAGACAGAGTCGCCCTCTGTCTTCCAGGCTACAGTGCAGTGTCACGATCTTGGCTCACTGCAACCTGCGTCTCCTGGATTCAAGTGATTCTCCTGCCTCCGCCTCTCGAGTAGCTGGGATTACAGGCAACTGCCACCGTGCCCGGCTAATTCTTTTTGTATATTTTTTGTAGAGAGGATGTTTCACCACGTTGGCCAAGCTTGTCTGAAACTCCCAACCTCAAGTGATCCGACCGTCTCAGCATGCCAAAGTAATGGGACTACAGGCGTGAGCCACTGTGCCCAGCCAGAATTCAAAATCAATAATAGATAATGCTGAGTGTATGATTTCAGGTGACAAAGAAGGTCTCACTATTCAGATATTTGTGACATTAATGAAAAACACGGAATGAACCCCTGAAAGATTGGCGGAAGGATTTTGCACACACAGCTGTCAGCCATGAAGGCACAAAGGTGAAAACAATCTGATGTGGAAGGAAGAGGCTCTGACTCAAATGCTGGGAATGAGGTGGGGAGAATGACAAGACGACTGTAGAGAGACGGAGAGCACACTGGGTACACAGGAAACTAAGGAGCAACAAGGAGTGTGTGTTTGACACTCACAGCCATTGGATTCACCTCGGGGTAACCAGGAATCCCTACATGATTAATATGACTGACATGAAAATAAGGGAGGCCCAGGTGCATAACTGGAATCTAGGAGACCGTGGAAAAGGCAATTGCCGCCCCACTGGTGAAATGTGGTGCTGATTTAGACACTAAATGAATGAAGTAGATGGATATAAGATATGTTTGTGAGGTAGAATCATTGACTGGAAAGGCTTACTGGGTTTGATTTTCCTACTTGTTTAATCCTCGCTTAATTAATTTCTTTCTGAGATTTATTCATCCTACACATAAATCAATACCTGGCAAAGGAGTGACAGATATATGAGTGGTGGTGGAAATGAAGAGACTTATTATAGCATAATATACAAGTCTGTGAACAGTGGCTCACGCCTGTAACCTAGCACTGCAGGAGGCCAAGGTGGGTGGATTCCATGAAGTCAGGAGTTCCAGACCAGCCTGGCCAACGTGGTGAAACCCTATCTCTACTAAAAATACAAAAATTAGCCGAGCACGATGGTGCATCCCTGTAATCCCAGCTCCTATTCTGGAGGATGAAGCAGGAGAATGACTTCAACCCAGTAGGTGGAGGTTGCAGTGAGTGGAGATTGCATCACTGCACTCCAGCCTGGGGGACACAAGGAGACTCTATCTCAAAAAATAAAAATAAGAAATACATAAATATAATAAAACACACACGAATGACAAAGGCACCTGAATTCCAATCATCGTTTTTCTATTTCTCTATAATTACTTCTTTGATCCTTTATCTTATCCATTAGGCAATGAGCCTAAAACCTCTTCCCTATTTGGCTTTCTGTGAGCATGAGATCATATAGAAAATGTGAAAGCCCGCTGAATCCTCCAGCACAGATCCTGGAATAGAGAAAGTGCTCTGGTCATCACAAAAAAAACTTGCCCACTCACCCAAATCCCCCACCTCACCCCTACTTCCAATCACCTGTGGAGATTCAGATAGACCATGGGGAGGTAAACATTAACACTCCTTGGAGTGAGTCCAGATCTTGGAATCAGAGATCAGCGACAGCACTAGCTCCTGCTCCCCTTTCCTACTAATTCACAGGAGGACAGGTGGTTTTGAAGCAATAGATGGCCGAGGGGGTGGTCCTTCCCCCAGCCTCTCGGGTAGAACAGCAGCCTAATATGTGTCTCCCGAGATCACAAAGAGCAGCAGGTTTCACACGGGCTTCAACACTATTTCCTGGCCGTTTGACATAAGAGAATTCTATTTCGCTTTTTTTATCTTGATTTCACTTTTGTTTTCTTTCCTTGGAGAATGCAAGTTGTTTGATTCAAGAATGCTGTGGATGTAGAAACCCTAAAGCACATTCGCTGTGAATCAATCCCAGTCCAGTCTTCCCAGAGAAGACTCTAAACACCTCCTGGACTGCACCTGGGCCTATGCCAATTCCTATCACTCACCGTCACTCCAGGGAGACAGAACACACAGAGAATACGTTACATAGGCAGGTTCATTACTAACAGATAAGCAGCGAGTGACAACAGAAACCTATATTTCAATGTGACCCAGTCCCTCAAGGCTCAGAAAAGCTCCTCGGGACATATGGAGTCACCCCATTTGCAGTGTAGCTGCGGGAAGCCAGAAAGCAGCCCAGCCTGGGTTTTGTACCCTGGAGCCACAGGAAGCACTCAGCTAAAGCACTGCATGACGTCCTCCAGGAAGAACAGGAAGACAGCCCAGGGTGTTCTGAGACGTTCCTCCTGATCTCAGGAAGTTGCTGTCTTAGGCCATTTTTGTTGCTCTAAAGGAACACTTGAGCCTCGGTAACTTCTAAAGAAAAGAGATTGGTTTGCCTCACCGTTCTGCAGGCTGTACTGGAAGCATGGCACCAGCATCTATTTCTCGTGACGGCCTCAGGCTGCTCCCACTCTGGCAGAAGGGAAGGAGGGTCTGTCTGTGCAGAGACCACAGAGATCACACGGCAAGAGAGGGAGCAAGGGGGAGGGGGAGTGATGGAGCTTCCAAGCTCTTTTTAACAACCAGCTCTCCGGGAACTAATAGAGGGGGAACTTGCTAACCCCGTCTCCTTGGGACAGCATTGATGTGTTCATGATGGATCCACCTCCATGACCCAAACACCTCTCAAGAGGCCCAACCTCCCACAGTGGGGGTGAAATTTCAATGTGAGGTTTGAAGGGGTCAAACATCTCAACTAAAGTAGTCGTATCCTCAGCACGTTCTATGGTTACTATGAGAGCTATAACTGAAAAAGCAGGAGAAAGCTGGGTCTCCTGCCATCTGGGTGCTTGTCCTAAAGAGGTGTTTTATGTGGTTACCTGTCAATCAAGAAATGCGAGACAATTCATAAAGAGGAACTGCTAAGATTAGCTTCTTATTGGTGTCTCATCTTCTTCCAGGTAACCCCCGACACCTGCACATTCTGATTGGGACCTCAGTGGTCATCATCCTCTTCATCCTCCTCTTCTTTCTCCTTCATCGCTGGTGCTCCAACAAAAAAAGTAAGTCTCACGAAGCAGAGGCCAGAGAGCTCAGGGCCATGTGGGGAAGCAGGATGGGAGCACTCAGGTGTGTGTTCCTCACAAACAGGATGGTCCCTGGCCCAAGGCAGCAGCCACAGAGGCAGGACTTTCTAGAGAGGGCACCAGACTCCCTGTCCCTGCCTTCAACTCACAGACCGTTGCCTGATTCTGAACTGTATCCCCATGTCCCCTGCAGCCACTCACATCCAGGAGAAGGTTCCATGACAGGCAGAAAGTGGGAGACAGAATCAATGGGATGGGAACTCAGAGCTATTCATGGGATGGGTCCTTGAGCTCAGAGAGATAGAATGTCTGAGTCTGCTGTTGGCAACTGAGGGACCTCAGCCACCTATGGTCTCCCCCTGTATGTTGGTATCTGCTTATGAAATGAGGACCCAGAAGTGCCCTCCGAGCTGTTTTGTTGACTTCCATCTTCTACAGATGCTGCGGTAATGGACCAAGAGTCTGCAGGAAACAGAACAGCGAATAGCGAGGTAGGTACTCCTCGGCCCGGGCTCGTGGCTACTGTTATTCCCAAAGAGTCCTGGAAAATGTGAGCACCCTCCCTCACTCAGCATTTCCCTCTCTCCAGGACTCTGATGAACAAGACCCTCAGGAGGTGACATACACACAGTTGAATCACTGCGTTTTCACACAGAGAAAAATCACTCGCCCTTCTCAGAGGCCCAAGACACCCCCAACAGATATCATCGTGTACACGGAACTTCCAAATGCTGAGTCCAGATCCAAAGTTGTCTCCTGCCCATGAGCACCACAGTCAGGCCTTGAGGGCGTCTTCTAGGGAGACAACAGCCCTGTCTCAAAACCGGGTTGCCAGCTCCCATGTACCAGCAGCTGGAATCTGAAGGCGTGAGTCTGCATCTTAGGGCATCGATCTTCCTCACACCACAAATCTGAATGTGCCTCTCACTTGCTTACAAATGTCTAAGGTCCCCACTGCCTGCTGGAGAAAAAACACACCCCTTTGCTTAACCCACAGTTCTCCATTTCACTTGACCCCTGCCCACCTCTCCAACCTAACTGGCTTACTTCCTAGTCTACTTGAGGCTGCAATCACACTGAGGAACTCACAATTCCAAACATACAAGAGGCTCCCTCTTAACGCAGCACTTAGACACGTGTTGTTCCACCTTCCCTCATGCTGTTCCACCTCCCCTCAGACTAGCTTTCAGTCTTCTGTCAGCAGTAAAACTTATATATTTTTTAAAATAACTTCAATGTAGTTTTCCATCCTTCAAATAAACATGTCTGCCCCCATGGTTTCGGTAATGGGACTCTTTTCTTGCCTAAGGCTTCCGGTGTTATCAGTACCATGTCCATATAATCCCATCTGTTCCCCACTGAGTTCTCATCCCCGGACTCTGAGTTTCTGGAAGCAGGGTGGAGCCTCATTTGTCTCTGGGACTCCAATTTCCATCCAAAGATGTAGCACATAGGAGGTTCCAAGGATCACGAATCATATGAACAAGTGATACTCTTACTCTCTGCAGACCTGGAAAGCTGGCAGAGTCATTCCACAATGAAACATTTGTAGAATCATAGGCCTTGTTAGTCTCATCTCCATGGGGACACATATCAACACATCATCTTTCATAATATAAATATACGGTCACTCCTCCATATCTGCGGGGTTTACAGGTGTTTATTGAACCAAGTATAAATCAAAAATATTGAGAGAAAGTATCCACAGAGTTTCAAAAAGCATAACTATGTTGAATGGACACAAATGAAGCTGTGTGTAGGCTGTATCAGGAATTATAAGTAATCTAGAGATGATTTCATGTATACAGGAGGATGTGCATAGGTTATTTGCAAACGCTGTGCCATTTCATATAAGAGGCTTGAGCATCTACAGATTTTGGTATCTGAGTGGAGATCTCAAAACCAATCACCCACGAATAGTGAAGGATGACCGTATATGACTTTTATTTCTCAAATTTAAATATAAATCATAAAAAATGTACAACTAGATAAAAACTAAGAAGTGTTTTTATAGTGTGAGTTAGATTTATTTTTTCCTAGGTGTAACCAATTGGTTTAATATTATTTATTGAGAAGACATTCTATGCCACCTTAAACCACACGGCAGCCTTTGTCAACTCTAAAGGGACTGTGTGTACATGGATGTATTTTAGACACTGTTTCTGCTAAGGGGCTCTCTGTGTCCACACTCTTGATGATGCTGCACTTTATGTAGCCTTATAGAACCCTTTAAATTTAGTAGCCAGAGCCCTCTAATTTGTTATTATAGGCTGTTTGCTTTTTTTTTCTTGAGGCGGAGTCTTGCTCTGTCGCCCAGGCTGGACTGCAGTGGCACAATCTCAGCTCACTGCAACCTCCGCCTCCCAGGTTCAAGCGATTCTCGTGCCTCAGCCTCTTGAGTAGCTGGCGTTACAGGTGCCTGCCACCAGGCACGGCTAATTTTTGGATTTTTAACAGAGACACGGTTTCACTATATTGGCCAGGCTGCTCTCAAACTCCTTATCTCAGTTGATCCGCCCACCTCGGCTTCCCAACGTGCTGGGGAAAACTTGATTTTCTATAGCATTATGTTACTGGATATTTCTGTAAAATTTAAAACGAGGGAGGGAGAGAGACAGACAGAGAGCAAACTCCAGAGTTGGGACTCTGGAATCTTGGGTCATGAGACAAATTTTAGATTAAACTACAAAACTCCAGAATTTACAGGTGTGGTTTTTGCTGATAAAGTACAATTCTAAGATTGTAAATAATTGCATAATCCTTCCCTGGGAATTTAAATCATTTTAGCTGGTTCTGCTGTAATACTAGAAATACAAGCATGAAAAATTCTAATGGTTTATTAGTCACAATGACTCCGAAAACATTAATAATACCTATTAGATACTTTGCATATTACACAGGAAGAAGAGTTTGAATCTCAGATAAAAACAAAAAAAATACATGAAAAGTCTTTCATGTTAGCACAGATTTTAGGCATCTCGTGTTCGGATAAAAATACATGAAAAGTCTTTCACGTTAGCACAGATTTTAGGCATCTTGTGTTCGGGAGGTTGGATCTGAGACGTGTTGTGAGTTGGTCATAGTGAAGGACGTGAGGTGCCAATTCTAGTGAGAACAATTTCCAGGAAGCCGTGTTCCGCTCTTGAGCAAGCATCCACTGGGCCTCATGCAAGGTAGAAAGAGCCTGCGTACGTCACCCTCCCATGATGTAGTCAACATGTAAGCTGCATGGGCAGGGCGCCAAATAACATCCTGTGCGCTGCTGAGCTGAGCTGGGGCGCGGCCGCCTGTCTGCACCGGCAGCACCATGTCGCTCATGGTCGTCAGCATGGCGTGTGTTGGTGAGTCCTGGAAAGGAATAGAGGGAGGGAGTGCCACATCCTCCTCTCTAAGGTGGCGCCTCCTTCTCCCCCAGGTGGTCAGGACAAGCCCTTCCTCTCTGCCTGGCCCAGCCCTGTGGTGTCTGAAGGAGAACATGTGGCTCTTCAGTGTCGCTCTCGTCTTGGGTTTAACGAATTCAGTCTGTCCAAAGAAGACGGGATGCCTGTCCCTGAGCTCTACAACAGAGTATTCCGAAACACCGTTTTCATAGGCCCTGTGACCCCAGCACATGCAGGGACCTACAGATGTCGGGGTTCACACCCACACTTCCTCACTGGGTGGTCAGCACCCAGCAACCCCCTGGTGATCATGGTCACAGGTCAGAGGGCTCCTGTCTGGGATTCTCCTTGTCCCACCTCCTGAGTCCCAGAGCTTCTGGTGGGAGTGTCCACCAGCGTCCCATCATCCAGACCCTAACTGTATTTGGGGTAAAAGGGGATTGAATACAGGGAAATGGGTGCTGTGGTGGAAAGAATAATTGTCCCCAATGATGACTGCATTCTAATCCCTGCAGTCTGTGACTATTTATGTTATAGGGGAAGGCACTGAAGGGGAAGATGGAGCTCAGGTTGTTGAGTTGACCTTGAGATGGGGAGACAGCCTGGACTGTCCTGCTGGGCTCAGTGTAATCACAAGGGTGCACATGAGAGGAGAAGGAAGAGGGGAGTGGCGATTAGAGCAGTGCAATGGAAGTCTCCATCAGCTTTGAAGGTGGAGGAAGGCCATGAGCCATGAATGCAGGTGGCCTATAGAGGCTGGAAAAGTCAAGGAACTGATTCTCCTGGGTCTCCAGAGGGAACGCAGCCCTGCAGATGCCTTGATTTTAGCCCTCAAAAAACAGGGTCCGATTTCTGTCTCCAGAAACGGAAGGGGTCAGTGTGCTCTCTCCTGCTGCCATGCTTCTGATAATTTTCCACAGCACCAACAGGAAACCAACACTGGAACCCAGGTCAAGGACAAGATAAGAAAGGACACAAGGATAGCCGGGCGTGGTGGCAGGTGCATGTAATCCTAGCAACTCAGGAGGCTGAGGGCAGGAGAATCACTTGAACCCAGGAGACAGAGGTTGCAGTGAGCCTAGACCACACCACTTCACTCCAGCCTGGGTGAAGGAGTGAGACTCTGACTCCAAAATTAATTAATTAATTAAAGAAACCAAACAAAGAGAAGGTTGGCTACACCGAGATCAGCAAGGGTGGGATGATGATGCCACCACCAGGCTCCATCCACATAGGGAGGGGTTGATACTCCTCAAACCAGCACCAGAAGCCAGCCTATGGAAGCTGGCACCATGGAGAAGGCACAGGCATGGCAAGAGTGGCTCCCAGTCCCCACCAGGAACAGGGTGTGTGGACACTGGTGCCTGCCTTACTGATCAGTTCATACCTTCTGCCAAGGATTCCAATTCGTCCAAAAGAGATTGAACCAGTCTGCTAAGAGCCTGGACGTGCAGCCTATCCTGGTTCCTCTTCCACCCCCACATAGAAGCAGGAAAGACATTAGTTCGAAATAGATACAACAGCCCAAGAGATGAGGCTGAGCCCAGCGGCAAGGGAATCAGGAGCTACTAGAGACAGAGGGACAGAGAAGAGGGAGGGAGACAGATGGAAGGACCTGTACCAGGAGTTATGGGCACAGAAAAGAACATGAAGACACAGAGAGGAAGGAGAGAGATAAGACACCAGCGAGGGGAAGCCTCACTCATTCTAGGTGCCATGGATGGGATGATAAAGAGAGATGCCTTCTAAAGTCACAACCTCTCTTCCTAGGAGTCCACAGAAAACCTTCCCTCCTGGCCCACCCAGGTCCCCTGGTGAAATCAGAAGAGACAGTCATCCTGCAATGTTGGTCAGATGTCATGTTTGAGCACTTCCTTCTGCACAGAGAGGGGAAGTTTAATGACACTTTGCGCCTCACTGGAGAGCTCCATGATGGGGTCTCCAAGGCCAACTTCTCCATCGGTCGCATGACGCAAGACCTTGCAGGGACCTACAGATGCTACGGTTCTGTTCCTCATTCCCCCTATCAGTTGTCAGCTCCCAGTGACCCTCTGGACATCGTGATTACAGGTGAGAGTGTCTGGACATTATTCTCATTGTCACTGGGACACAGAGTGAATGATCCACGACTTGGAGGCCCAGGTGGTTATAAGGAAGATGAGCTTGGTATTCTTATGGAGAGAGACTAACTTGGTGAGGTCTGTACCAACAGAGACAGAGAAACAGGAGACACAAGTACAGACCAGGTGTCATAACAGAGGACAGACACAGGGGCCATACAGGGAGTTAGAAAAGACAGAAAGAGTTAAAGGAGACACAGACAGACATGTGCCAGAGAGAGGTGTCCTTCCATGCTGACTTTGCTCAGAGACCTGGCACAGGTTAGAAGTTTCATTTCTGTTTTACTTCCACAAAGTGTTCTCTACCAGAAGAACCCAAGGACACCCATATTTCTGGCCTGAGTTGGGCCCTGTGGCCTCAGGCCTTCTGGCACCTACAGATGCCGTGTTTATTCTGACACCTCTGCCTTCCATGCAATGGAGAGTAATCGTCCCAGGATATCATGGCCCCAGAACATCAACCCCTGTATACTGTGTGAACTTGCGGTCCCCAGACTGGATTCTGAGGCTCACATTCCAAATAACCCCACATATGAGAGGATCACTGAGAGACACAGAGAGAAATCAGGGACACCAAAAAGCAAAGACATAAACACACAGAGAATGAGCCAGAGGAAGGAGATTGAGAGACTCACAGACACATAAAGAGGGAGAAAAGAGGGCAGAGAAGTGGAGAGAACAATGGAAGGGAACAGAGAAAAGCACTAAAATTAGAGTCCTGAGGGAGAGACACAAGGACATAGAAAGATGGAGATGTGGGGATGAATTGCAGAGATTCCAAAGAGAACTAGAGAGACCGAGAGGCAGAGCAAGACAGATGATAGATGGATAGATATAGATAGATGATAAATAGGTAGATGATAGATAATAGGTTATAGATACATAGATGATGATTGATTCATTCATTGATTAATCGATGATACATAGAGATGATGAAGATGAAGATAGATAGATAATACATAGAGATAGAGAGGCAGACAAAGAGAAATCATAGAGAGAGAGAGACGATACATAGATATAGATAATAGATGATTTTTGGATAGACAATTGATAGATAAATAGATTATATATAGATATAGATGACAGGTAGAGAATTTGTAGATAGGCACCAAATAGATAAATAGATATATCGATAGATAATAGATAGAAATATGCAGAAAGTTATGAACAGGACACAAAGTGAGAAACTCAGAATTTAAAAAAAGTAACATCAAGTCAACTAGTCCAAGGAGAGTCAGAGAGAATAAAACAATCCAAAAAGGGAAAACATATCTAGAGGTGAGAAAGTGAGGTCAGAGACCTAGAGAGACAGAGAAGGTGGAAAGAGGAAATAGACATAAAGAGAGATGGTGTGGAGGGTGAGACAGAGAGAGAGAGCATTAGGCCATAGAGCAGGGGAGTGAGTTCTCAGCTCAGGTGGGAGGGGAGTTGTGACAAGGAAGAACCTCCCTGAGGAAACTGCCTCTTCTCCTTCCAGGTCTATGTGGGAAACCTTCTCTCTCAGCCCAGCCGCGCCCCATGGTTAAGGCAGGAGAGAGCGTGACCTTGTCCTGCAGCTCCCGGAGCTCCTATGACATCTACCATCTATCAAGGGAGGGGGAGGCTCATGAACTTAGGTTCCCTGCAGTGCCCAAGGTCAATGGAACCTTCCAGGCCAACTTTCCTCTGGGCCCTGCCACCCACGGAGGGACCTACAGATGCTTCGGCTCTTTCCGTGACTCTCCCTACGAGTGGTCAGACCTTAGTGACCCACTGCTTGTTTCTGTCACAGGTGAGGAAACCAGTCTGTTCCCCAAATAGTGGGACTCAGATGGACTACAATGGCGACATTCAGGGGAGCCTCAGATGGAGGGGGTGGCCATGGGGGTGTCAGCCAGAGATGCTGGACAGAAGAGACACAAAGCAAACATACAGAAAGAGGCATAGACAGACAGACAGAGCGAGGCAGACAGATCACATTAGGGTTTGGGGTGGTAACTGCAACCCTACCTGAAGCTTGCAGATAGAGCACAGGCCACATAAACCACTTCCCAGTCTTTGTACAGAAGCCCACCTGGGACACATGTAAACAGCATCAATGCTGACTCAGGAGCATGAAAGGCCGGGCTCAGATTGGAAAGACTAGAGGTAGCATTGGCCGCCCGCCATTGCCCATTTCCAGAAGCCCCCACCTCTCACCAAAGAGTGATTTCCACATGGGGGGCACAGATGCAACCATCGTTGGGGGAGCCCCAATGTCTCTTGATGGGAGGCATTTTCCACCCTAGATGTTTTTTGCTCTCTCCACACCTTGGAGACTCAGTGGGGGAGTCTTCTCTGGGGACTCGGGGAGGGCCTCCCTGGGACTCGCAGGATTTCCAAGCTAGATGACAACATGACAGGTGGAAACAGGCCCATTCCTTCGCCAGGGGCCCCAAGCTCCATCCCAGGAGATGAGAAGAGGCTCTTCTCATTGGTCAGTGGATCCCTGAGGGGACAGAGGCTCAGCACTGAAGGCTGAGAAGGATCTGCCACTTCGCTCAGTGGCCTCAAGCCAGACATCTTCCCTACAGACTTGCAGTGATTCTCCATCAGCATTTAGGGCTGTGGCCACCAACCTGGGTGTTGGTCTGTAGGAACTTTTCATTTCTGACCTTCCATAACTGAGTTCTCTTCCTAAATGTGGAATGCCTTGTACTCCATGTTACTCTCTCCCCAGAAAGAATGTGTGGCTTGTCTGCTCTCCAGCCCTGTCATGGAGATTGATAATCCTTAGGGAGCAAGAGGAGAGGGAAAGAACAAAGTATGAGACCACCTAGGTGCTACTGGTTGAGGTTCCATTTGCCAGTGAAGGGACTTCACTCAGCCGAGGGGGCAACTCAGGGAAGTCAGCCGAGGGAGGGCATTAGAGTAGAGAGAACTGAGCTCACCCAGTAAATGACCCCTTCACTAACTCATTCATCTAATATTTATTTCACACCTACCATCAGTTCTCTCTGTTTCACGGCCAGGAGTAGACAGCACGGCCAAGCTCCTGGGTTCATGATGCTCACATTGCTGTGGGGTGGGAGAGAGAGGCAGAACATGAATGAATGAATGAGAGAATGAATGAATGAGTGAATGATGGAATGAGTGAATGAATGAATGAATGAATGTATGAATTAGTGAGTGAATCCTTAGCACTTGGTGAAAGTGCCATGCACAGAATGAAATGAATGAACGTGGAACGTTGTCATTTGGAGTGTACAGGAGGGAACGTCTCACTGAGACCTCATCAGAGAGATCACATTTAAACTCCGATCTTAGAGACAAGAGGGAGTGAGCCCTGGGGAGTGTGTTGAAAGGAACTTTCATGGACTTAGGACATTGGGGATGACCCTAATGTGAGAATGAGCTTGGTGTGTTCCAAGAAGTCCATGGACCTGCCATATGGTGAGGGCTGGTCAGAATCCAGAGAGATTTCTAAATGCCCTTGTGCTTCTAAGGAAAGTGAGTCCTGTGGTTGGGAGTGGACTTATACCTTGGGTCAGGTCCAGCAATTATCTTTCTAAATCCTCTCTAATTGCCTGAACCACTTCTATCAACAACTGAGAAAAGAGGAGTGTTAAACACCCCACTGTGGCCGTGGATTTGCCTACCTGTCCATTTATTTCCGCGACTCTTCCTCCATGTATATTTGCAGGAATATTACTGGGAGTGGTTAAGTGTAAACTGATTATATATTCCTGGTAAATTTAAAATGCTATAAATTTACCTGCTTTTTTCCTACATTTTATGCTTAATGTTTTCCGCTGATTTTTCCCAAAGACTAATTTTGTCTAATTTTAATATAGTTATACCACATTTCTAACAGTGATTGCTTGGTATATTTCTACATTGTTTAATTTCAAACTCCATGAATTGTTAACATTGAGATGTGTCCTTTGTAAATTTCAAACAATTCGCCTTAGAAAGTAAGACTTTCTGACAATCTTTTGTTCATGTTTGAGCAGTTCTTCCAATCATATTTTTGTTATTATTACGTTGTGTTTTCCTGATTCCCTTTTTTTCCCACTGACTTCTGTGGTTTTCTATTTCAAACATTCTATTTTTGATCTATGTCGTTTAGGAATACATATATGGTGTACTCATCCTGAAGTTGTTACATATTTTTAAAATTGAAATTAATCATTTCAGAGATTAAACTGCAAATATAAAAACATATTTCCACTCTTCCTGTGTAAGAACAGGATTTTAGAGCATATTTAGTACATATGTTTGTATTTACTTATATGATGTTTTGTTTTGTGGTATACATAATTCTATCTTTTTCAGAAATTACACAGGGGCGTGTTTTCATACACTATCGTATGGTCCATATTCATTTTTGGCATAGCCATATTTTTAGTTCTTCCTCTGCTCTTAGTTATTGTCAGAATCTTCGACACCCCATCTGGTTTCACTTTCTTTATCTTTGAGGCACGGTCATCAGAATTTCCTTTAGGGTCAGTGAGAAAAGCTTTCTTTGCCCTTTTGTCTTTCAGTTCTGTTTCTTTCCTGCGTTGATCTTGGACAGTAACTGTACTATGTAAGGAATTGTCGGTGGCTGGCGACGGTATCTTAGCTGGGTAAAGATGCTATTCTACTGGCTTATGTTTTCCTTTTTTCTGTGGGGAAGACAATGCTTGGCTCCCTATAAATCCTTACCAGCTGATCCTTTTCCTCTGGCTAATTTTAAGGGTTGGTTGTGCTTTTATGCTGCTTTTCTGTAATGTTGAACGTGAGGTGTGTTTACTTCATTCTGCCTGGCATTCACTGGATTTCTTGAACCTGTGGATTGATGGATGTGTCTACTTCCTCCAAATAATCAACAATTGCCTCTTTAAAGATTGCTTCTGACCTGTTTTCTCGTTCTTTCTTTTTGGAACTCAAGTTAGGAGCATTCTAAAACTGTTGTCAATTTTTACCCTGTCACAAAACTGCTCTTTCTTGTTTCAGTTATTTGCTTTTTCTGTGCATTAATATTGATGGTTTCCTCTGTCATAGAGGATAAATACTCTCTTCACTGTTGTGTACACAACATTTTAACTAGTTATTCTGGTTTAAATTTAATATTGACTTTATCTACATATCACAATTGATTACTGTGTACAGACTTTCTTTTCTATTAGTATAAATTTATGAGGTACACTTGTAATTTTGTGACATGAGTATGTTGCAGAGTAGTGAAGTCAGGACTTTTACTATATCCATCACCCAAATACCGTACATTGTACTCATTAAGCAAATTCTCATCACTCACCCACGTCCCGCCACCCTCCAGCCTTCTAGCCTCCGCTGTCCGTCATTCCACACTCTACGTCCATATGTACACATTACTCCCCTCCCATGTAGAGTGAGAAGATGTGGTATTTGTCTTTCTGAGTGGTTTTATGTAAAATAATGGCGTCCAGCTCCATCTATGTTGCTGCAAAAGACATGGTTTTATTTTTATGACCAAATAGTATTTCGTTGTGTATACACGCATCCTTTTTTTAATCCAATCATTCATTCACAGACACTTAGATTGATTTCATATCTTTGCTATTGCAAACAGTGCTGCAATAAACATACAGGTGCAGGTATTTTTTGAGTAGATACCCAGCAGCGGGACCCCTAGATCGAATGGTGCTTCTATTTTTGGTTCTCTGCCAAATTTCCATACTGTCTTCCATAGAGGCTATACTAATTTACATACCGGCCAACAGTGTATAAGAGTTTCCTTTTCTCTGCATCCTTGCCAACACCTGTTATATGTTTCACTTTTTCTTTTTTTCTTTTTGAGATGGAGTCTTCCACTGTCACCCAGGCTGGAGTGCAGTGCCGCCATCTCCACGCGCTGCAACCTCCACCAACCAGGTTCAAATGATTCTCCTGCCTCAGCCTCCTGAGTAGCTGGGATTACAGAACCACACCACCATGCCCAGCTAATCTTTTGTATATTTAGTAGAGATGGGGTTTCACTATGTTGGTCAGGCTGGTCTCAAACTCCTGACCTCATGATCCACCCGCCTCAGCTTCCCAAAGTGCTGGGATTACAAGCGTGAGCCACCACTCCCCACCAGCATTTTTAGTAATAGCCATTCTGACTACTGTAAGATGATATCTCATTGTGGTTTCAATTTGCATTTCTCTGATGATTAGTGATGTTCATACGCTGTTTGGCCATTCGTATGTCTTCTTTTGAAAAATGTCTATGTATATCCCTTTGCCCACTTTTTAATGCTATTATTTGAGGGGTTATGTTTAGTTGTTTGAGTTGCCTAGAAATTCTGGATGTTAGTCCTCTGTTGGGTGCATAGTTTGCAAACATTTCCATTCATTCTGTGGGTTGTCTGTTCACCCTGCTACTATTTCCTTTGCTTGGCAGAAGCTCTTTCGTTTATTAAGTCCCATTGGTCTAGTTTTATTTTTATTGCCTGTGCTTTTGAGGTCTTAGTGATGAATTCTTTGCCCAGACCAATGCCCAGAAGAGTTTCTCTTTGGGTTTCCACCGGTGATTTTATAGTTCTGGATTTACATTTAAGCTGCTAATTACCTTAAGTTAATTTATGTGTATGATTACAGATACAGGTCCAGTTTTATTCTTCTGCATATGGCTATTTAGTTTTCCCAGCACCTTTTATTGAAAAGGAAATCTTTCTCCAGTGTATGTTTTGTTAACGTCGTCAATGATTATTCACTGTAGATATGAGGCTGTATTTCTGGGCTCTCTATTCTGGTCTATTGATCTCTGTTTCTGTGTCTATACCAGCACTGTGCTATTTAAGTTACTATAGCCTTAGAGCATAGTTTGAAGTCAGATAGCGTGATGCCTCCAGGTTTCTACATTCACCTAGAATTGCTTTCTCTATTAGGATCTTTTTTGGTTCTGTATGAATTTTAGGATTGCTTTTTCTAATTCTGTGAAAACTGGTGTTACTATTTTCATATAAGAATTGCACTGAATCTGTAGATTGCTTTAGGCAGTATGGTCATTTTAACAATATTAATTCTTATGATCCATGAGCGTGGGATTTTTTTTCTTTTTTTTTTTTTGTATTATCTATAATTGCTTTCATTGGTGTCTTACACCTTTCCTGGTACAGATCTTTCACCACCTTGGTTAAATGTATTCCTGAGTGTTTTAATTTTGCGTATCTATTGTAAACGGCATTGCCTTCTTGATTTGGTTCTCAGCTAGATCATTATAGGTGTAGAGAAATGCTACCGGCTTTTACATATTGATTTTGTATTCTGAAACTTTACTTAGTTCATTTATCAATCATAAGAATTTTTGGCAGGGTCTTTAGGATTTTCTAGATTTAAGATCATAGCATCAGAAATAAAAATAATTTTACTTCCTCTTTTCTAATTTGGATTTTTACTTCTTCCTGTTGCCCAATAGCTCTGACAAGGCTTCCAGTACTATGTTGATAGGAAGTGGTGGATGTCCGTGTCCTTGTCTTGTGCCAGTTCTCAGAGGAGTGCTTTTAACTTTTCCTGTTCAGTATGATGTTGACTCTAGATATGTCATCTATGGCTTTTATTATTTTGAGGTATGTTCTTTCTATGCCTAAGTTTTTGAGGGTTTTCATCAGGTAAGGATGTTGAATTTCTTTTCAGATGCTTTTCTTTATGTCTATTGAGATGATCATATGGTTTTTGTTCTGGATTCTGCTCGTTCTTCTAAGTGGATGAGACATGCCAGAAAAGCATTTAGTCAGCCATCTTGGAAACAAGCATCTCAGATGTTTTCTTTCTCTATAGCTCATTCTTTCTTACCAGTGTTTTCAATTTTGTACTTAATTTTGTAAAGAGAGTAAATGATATAATTTCCACATATGTTTCCTCTGCCAAATCAGACTCACTATGCTTCCTTTCCTTGTATGCATAACCTACCCAGCAATACACACAAACATTTATTGCTTTGGAGAATTAGTTTGGGAACATTTTTGAAATGTACAAAAAAATGTATATCTTCAAAAGAAATTTCTTTTTGTGGCAAAAGACTTCTGAAGGTGCTCATGATGATATAGGGAGAAGAGGGGTTCTGGACAGGAAGAATTTTATGAAGGTGAGATGGGGAAATAGCTCCATTTCAGAGCTTCTGGGGAGAGAGGGGCCTGGCCCACATGGAAAGGTCTCTGATCTTACCCCCACCCTCCAGCCCCTGTTCTCCAGAACTATACTGTGGAGAGTTCCATCAGGATTGTTGTGGCTGGTCTGGTCTTCCTGGCTCTTTTGGCAATGCTGGCTAAGACCTGGTGGAGACATGAGGGGCCACAGGTGGAAATGGAAGAAACATGACTGAAGCTGGCTGGAGTGAATGGCGCGACATTCTGTCTGTGGGAGATTGGCCAGATGGGTTTCAAGTGTGTTGTATCAGCTGTGACTTTTAGTAATGTTCTTGCTACCACAATATCCACTCGTCCATCCCGAATAATTGTGATGAAATATTGTCCTTGGGATAATATTCATTTGCTAAAGACAGGGATGATACCTCAAGGTGCCACTATATACATCGAGGGGATCCACAAAAGTCCATTCAGTAAAATGTAGTTGGCATCTTAGGGTAGGTTGATTCCACCTCTAAAAAAGTAGGTACAACATCAGGTTGATTTTTCCGAAGAAAAGTGGTGATTGGCCATCTTTAGTCTCAATGTAAACGGTAATACTGATGAGTGTGGAAAAGGCAGGGAAGAGGATTGACAATAAGTGACACTCATTGTTTTCATCTGAGCTTTGAGACTGAAAGAGGAACACAGGAGTGAGATGTATGGGAACAAACCCCTTCTTTTTCCAGCTAAACAGAGTGGAAGTTGGACACTGAGTTTTGGCGTACAGCAAAATCCTAAGTCCATTGTTGGGTTGAACACGGCCATGTTGTACATCCTGGTTTCACAGCAGACACTGGAGGAAAACAGCCTGTATTCATAAGAGGCTGTCCCTCGGGTCACTGCCCAGAATATCCGGAGTTGGTGCTCACAGGGTTGGGAACTCTCCTGGACCAGACAGGCTCTGGATATGGGGGGGTACCAAGCTCCCCGGGGCCATGCCTCCACAGCTCTCTTCTCACCTCATTCTTGACCATTTCCCAAACCTCTGACCTCACCTTCATTCATCCATGGTGAACACGCTAAAGCTGGCCTTCAAAGCTTGAGACAGAGGAAAATTGGGCTTCATCTCTGGGAACTAAATTGGGGAGTGGAGACTCAGTTCTGGCCTGACAGGAGGGAGAAGACCCTGGATCCCAGTGTGGATGGGAAGAAGTATGTGTTTCTCTTTTGTGCTTGGACCCTGTGTCCAAGCATGTCTGAGATGTGATGAAGATGAATCTTCCTTTCCTTGTCTATTTTCTCATGCCAGAGAATTGGAATCTTATATTCCATTAACTCTTTCTGTTCTGTTCATCCAGATTCTATGAAGGAGAAAGGAAAAGATGTGATACTGTAATTTTGCTCCATTTGTCTAAAATGAGTAGGCTGCAACTCCTCTTGAAGTGATACCTTTTCTAGCTCTTGTTGGAGGTGTCTCAGGACTCATTACTTCGGGGAACCTGCAACTGTGTCAGTCTGGGGAAACTGCAAATATTCTTGTCTTACATTTGTCTCCAGCCAATTGTGATGGACTCCAGTGACCTGCAATTGCTGTTATTGCAGGTAAAATGTACCTGAGTCAGGCCACAGTTCTCCTGGACTATGAGCCCCTGGCCATGTTCCTGAGGCAATTCTGTTCATCTAAATATAATAATAATAACACACTAAAAATGGCAAGCCATTGTTAATTCCTGAAGTCTCATTTGAAAATTACTAAATGTCTGTTATTTTTTGGTGTTTACATTATATGTAGACAGATAAACTACACACACACACACACACACACACATGCACACAGAAGAATGGATTGGTTCATGTAGAAAAGTAAATAATTCAAGATGAAAGGATGAAATGTCATGGCACCTACTATTCTATTTTAGATAAAGGGTCTATGAAAAGATTGATTTCTTTTTATGTTTTATTTGTTGACATTTGAACACAAACTATGTAAGTGAGGGAGTCGATTTGAAAGGGAGAAGAGCAAGTTCAAACACATTCAGGTGAGGTCATGCTTTACATGTTTTAATTGAAATGATCCATCTTGGGAGTAGATCAATAACTGAGATGGTGCCAGGAATGTTAAAAAGCTTTTGTCAGTCCTAAATATTGACAAATAAAATTTAATTAAAGTCTTAGAAGAAAACACAAAGGAAAACTTCACAACATCGGATTTGGCAGTGATTCTTTAGATGTGACAACAACGGCACAGGCTACTACAGAAAAAATAAACAAGTTAGACTTTATGAAAATTTTGAAATATTGTGACTCAAAAGACAACATCAGTTACTTCACATGGCAAGGAAAAAGAACTTTTAAGACGATATTATCAAAGTAAAAAGACAACCCACAGAATGGGAGAAAATGTTTTCAAACCACACCACCTGTAAGGGATTAACATCCAGAATATACAGACAACTCCTAAAACTCAATCACAATAAACTCAATTCAAAAATGGGCAAAGTACTGAAACAGACATTTCTCCAAAGAACATACGCATGAAAAGATATTCAGCATCACGAATCATTAGGGAAATACTAACTAAAACTACACCAGATGCCATTTCATACCCCTTAGGATGGGTATCATCAAAACAACAACAACAACAACAACAAAGTTTCTATACATTAACAACAAACTATCCAAAAAAGTTTACAAGAAAATAAGCCCATTTGCAATAACTACAGAAAACAAAACATGCAGGAATAAATTCACCCAAGGAGTAGAAAGATCTGTATGCAAAAGCTATAAAACATTGATGAAAAAACTCAAGAAATAAACAAATAAATCGAAAGATATTCCATGTTCACGGATCAGAAGGATTAATGTTGTTAAAATGTCCATTCTATCCAAAGTGATTCAATGCAACCATTATCAAAAATCCAATGACATTTTTTTTACAGAAATAGAAAAAACAGTCCTAAAATTCATGTGGAACCACAAAAGATCTCAAATAACCAAAGCCATCTAGAGGGAAAGGAACAAAGTTGGAAGAATCACATTACCTAAACACAAACTACATTACAAAGTTACAGTAATTAAAACAACACAGTACTTGCATAAAAACAGACACATAGACCAATGGAAGTGATTCATAGCCCAGGAAAAAAAATGCACGCATTTAGGGTCAAACAATTTTTGGGATGTATCAAGAACACACAATGGAGAAGGAACAGTCTCTTTAATAAATGGGATTGGGAGACATGCAGAAGAATGGAAGTGGACATTTGCCTCACAAAACATACAAAGTCAACTCAAGATAGATTAATGACTTAAATGTAAGATGAAAGACTATCATCCCAGCAATTTGGGAGGCCAAGGCGGGCAGATCACCTAAGGTCAGGATTCCAAGACCAGCATGGCCAACATGGTGAAATCCCGCCTCTACTAAAAATACAAAAACAGCTGGGTGTGGTTGTGGGTGCCTGTAATCTCAGCTACTCGGGAGGTTGAGACAGGAGAATCACTTGAACCCAGGAGGTAGAGGTTGCAGTGAGCCGAGATCGCACCACTGCACTCCAGCCGGGGCAACAGAGTGAGACTCCATCTTAAAAAAAAAAAAAAACTACTAAAAGAAATCAAGGGAAAACTCCACTGGCTTGGGCAAAACCATTTTGGATATTAACCCAAAGGCCCAGGCAACAAAAGCAAAAGTAGACAAATAACATTATATCAAATTGAAAGTTTCTGCAAAGAAAAAAAAAAACTCAACAAGTGGAAAGACAACCTATGGAATGGGAGAATATATTTGCACCCATACATCTAATAAGGAATTAATATCCAAAATATATAAGAAACTCAAACAACTCAATGGTAAGAAATCAAATAACCCAACTTAAAAAAATGGGCAAAGTATCTGAATAAACATTTCTAAGAATAAGACAAATCACCAAAAGGTATATGAAAAAATGATTAGCATTACTAAACATCAGCTAAATAAAAATTAAAACTAGAATGAGATATCACCTCACACCTCTTAGAATGACCATTAACAGTCTGGGCATGGTGGCTCATGCCTGTAATTCAGGCACTTTGGGAGGCCGAGGCAGGGAGATTACCTGAGGTCAGCAGTTCGAAACCAGCCTGGCCAATATGGTGAAATCCCATCCCTACTAAAAATACAAAAATTAGCAGAGTTTGGTGGCGCACACTTGTAGTCCCAGCTACTCTGGAGACTGAGGCAGGGGAATCGCTTGAACCCAGGAGGCAGAGGTTGCAGTACACCGAGATTGTGCCACTGCACTCCAGCCTGGGTGACAGAGCAAGACTGAGTCTCAAAAAAAAAAAAAAAAAGACCATTATCAAAAACATAAAAAATAACAAGGGTTAACGAGGATGTGGAGAAAAGGGAACATTTGTATGCAGTTGATGGGAATGTAAATTAGCACAACCATTATGGAAAACAGTCTGGAAGTTCCTGAAAAAATTAAACATAGAATTCCCATATGTGTCTGCAATCCAACTACTGCGCATGTATCCAAAGGAAGTGGAATCAGTATGTTGAAGAGATATCTGCATTCCCATGTTTACAGCCGCATTATTCATAACAGCCAAGATGTGGAATCACCCTTACTGCCCATCTATGGGTGCATGGACAAAGAAAACGTGGTATACGATAGGAACGTAATGAAGTACTATACAACCTTTACAACAAAGAAGGAAGTCCTCTCATTTGTGACAATGTGAAAAAACTTAGAGGACATTATGTTAAGGGAAACAATCCAGGCACAGAAAGACAAATGCCACATGATCTCATGTGTGGAGTGTAAGAAGTGGAACCTAGAGGAACAGTAAAATGGTCGTCGAAAGAACCTGGGAAGGAGAGAGATTGAAGAGATGTTGGTCAAAGGATGCAAAATTTCAGTTAGAAGAAATCGGTTCAAGAGATCTATTGTATGTCTTGGTGACTCCATTTAATAGCAACATATGGTGTATTGAACATTACTAAGAGATTAGATTTTACATGTTCTCACCACACACACAAAACATACAAGTATGTGAAAAAATAAATAGATAAAGAGGTTGTTTCATCCATTCCACAATGTGTACCTATATGAAAACATCATGATGGACACCACAAATACCCTTTTCCTCATTAATTAAATTTGTTTTGGCTTTTTTTTTGAGACGCAGTTTCACTGTTGTTGCCCAAGCTGAGGTGCAATGGCGTGATCTCCGCTCACTGCAACCTCTGCCTCCCAGGTTCAAGCGGTTCTCCTGACTCAGCCTCCCAAGCAGCTGGGACTACAGTTGCGTACCACCCCGTCCGGCTATATTTGTGTTTCTAGTAGAGACAGGGTTTCGCCATGTTGGCCAGGCTGGTCTCGAACTCCAGACCTCAGGTGATCCACCCGCTTCGCCCTCCCAAAGTGCTAGATTTCAGGCTGAGACACCACACCCAGCCTGTACATTGACTTTCTGCCCTTAAACTGTGCTGAAGTTTGTTTCTCAGATGTAGGAGCCTTTGGGCAGAGACTATGGGGTTTCTAGGTATAGAAATTATCTCATCTTCAAACAGAGGTAATTTGACTACCTCTCTCTGCTACTCTCTTCTTACTTGGATGCCTTATAATTCTTTCTCTTTCCTGATGGCTCTGTCTAGGACTTCAAGTACTATGTTGAATAGGATGGTGAGAGTGGGCATTCTTGTCTTGTTTCACTTATGAAGGGAACTTCTTCCAGCTTTTACTCATTCAGTATGATGTTGGTTGTGGGTTTGTCATAGGCGGCTCTTATTATATTGAGTTATGTTTCTTCAATGCTTAGCTTGTTGAGGGCTTTTAACATGAAGAAATGCTTAGTAAAAAGTATGTTCTACATGTGTGTTGAGAAGATCATGTGGTTTTTGTTTTTAGTTTTGTTTAGGTGATGAATCACATGTATTGATTGTGTATGTTCAACCAACCTTGCACCCTAAGAATAAAGTTGACTTGATCATGGTGGATTCACTTTTTGATATGCTGCGGGATTCAGTTCTTAGTATTTTTTGTGGATTTTTGCATCTATGCTCATCAGGAATATTGGCATGTAGTTTTCTTTTGTTTAATATTCTTTTCTGTCTTTAGTATCAGGGTGATGCCAGCCTTATAGAATGAGTAAAGGCCACCCTGGGCAAACAGTGAGACCCATCCCTTTTTAAAAATTATGAGTTTTACAAATTTAAAATGCATAGTGAAAAAGTTCTTACAAACTCCAGAAAGGTAGGTGTAAATAAGAGACATTTGTAAGAATGACAGCACATTAAATGTGTAGATTTCAACCTTCAGTTATTGCAATATTCCAGTATCAAGTTGGAGGATGTTATCAGTCTGATATTTTTTCCTCAAATGAGAGAGAGAAAGAAAGACACACAAACAACACAGGGAGAAAAAAAGCACACGTTACAGAGAGACAAAAAGGGAGACAGGGAACTGTGAATTTGGACTCTTGTGTCATAAGACAAATTCTAGATAACACGACCAGACCTTCAATTGACATATTGTGTTTTTGCTAATAAGGTGGAATTCTATGATGCGAAATAACTATATAGTCTTTTCTACTGGGATTTAAATCATTTTATCTGTTTCTGGCTTAACAGGAAAAATACAACCATGGAAAATTATGATGATTTATTTAATACGATTGCTCTATAGTGTTAATAAAACCTATTAGGTATTTTGCATATTACATATCAAGGAGAGTTTGAATCTCAGGTAGAAACAAAAAAAAATACATCAAAAGTTCCTCATGTGAGTGCAGAATTCAATCGTCCCGTGCAGGGGTAAGTGAGTCTGAGATGTGTTTTGAGCCTGGCCGTTGCGCATGATGTGAAGTGACAAGTCTAGTCTGCAGTTTTCAGAAACCCTCATTCCTCCCTTGACTGATTCACCACTTGAACCTCATATGACGTAGAAGAAGCCTACCTATGTCCCCTTCACATGTTGTGGTCAATGTGTCAACTGCACGATCCGGGCCCCTCACCACATCCTCTGCACCGGTCAGTCGAGCCGAGTCACTGCGTCCTGGCAGCAGAAGCTGCACCATGTCCATGTCACCCACGGTCATCATCCTGGCATGTCTTGGTGAGTCCTGGAAGGGAAGGAGCACCAGGGTTACACTATGGGCCTGCAGATTGGGTGTCTCCCCAGCAGAGAGCCATGTTCTGAAGCAAGTGAGTGGTGAGGATGAGTTAATTTTCAGTCCAGCGTGGCGCCCAGTGGCTCAGGAGGAAAGGGTAGGTTGCTGCCGAGATGAATAGTTCATCATGATCTTTCTTTGCAGGGTTCTTCTTGGACCAGAGTGTGTGGGCACACGTGGGTGAGTCCTTCCCCAAATGATGGGTTGCCATCTTCACCCCAATACAAGTGAATTTTCCGGAAATGGGAGGGAGGCAGCACAGAGGGTGGGCTGATGGGCTGACCATGGGAAGGCCTGGGGGGAGTCTCTCATGAACTAGTAAGAGGAGATCCTGGGAGTCTCTCATGAACTAGTAAGAGGAGATCCTGGGAGTCTCTCATGAACTAGTAAGAGGAGATCCTGGGAGTCTCTCATGAACTAGTAAGAGGAGATCCTGGTATGCTCAGCCTTCTGTTTTGTCTTAGCCCTCCCCAGCCTTTCTTCCCCATGGCTGAGTTGAGCTCTGTGTGGCCCAGGCGGGATACTGAGGTGCTCAAAGCTGGGGTGTGTGGGGGGATGTGGTGTCACCGACAGAGGAGGGAAGGGTAGCAGTGTTAGGAACAGCAGGTCCTCTGAGGACAAGAGGGTAACTCACACCCTCCAGCGTTTCCATGACGGTAGGGGCTGCAGTGTGGCTGCTGTCATTCTGCCAGAAGAGGTGGGGGAACCACAGCCACGACCCTGCCATTCCAAATCCTCTGATGGAGCTCAGTTGTTTATTGTGGTTCAGGCATTAGCTAATATTCCATTCACAAAGGTCATACCCTCCACCCCATGTCTACTTTGTGTTGTTTGGTGTAACTAATCTTGCAGTATTAAAATCTAGTAAGAGTCCCTTACTCAGCACCTGCTCAGTTCTCAACTGACACTTTTGTTGTAGGGAGACGCCACGTCTATGCGGGATGGGTCCTTCCTGTAGCCCCAGGCACCCAGGTGTGGTAGGAGCCTTAGAAAGAAGAAATGGGGAGAATCTTCTGAGCACAGGGAGGGAGGGGCAGCTCAACATACTCCTCTCTGAGGCGGCATCTCCTTCTCCCCAAGGTGGTCAGGACAAGCCCTTCTGCTCTGCCTGGCCCAGCGCTGTGGTGCCTCAAGGAGGACACGTGACTCTTCGGTGTCACTGTCGTCGTGGGTTTAACATCTTCACGCTGTACAAGAAAGATGGGGTCCCTGTCCCTGAGCTCTACAACAGAATATTCTGGAACAGTTTCCTCATTAGCCCTGTGACCCCAGCACACGCAGGGACCTACAGATGTCGAGGTTTTCACCCGCACTCCCCCACTGAGTGGTCGGCACCCAGCAACCCCCTGGTGATCATGGTCACAGGTCAGAGGGCTCCTGTCTGGGCTTCTCCTTGTCCCACCTCCTGAGTCCCAGAGCTTCTGGTGGGGGTGTCCACCAGAGTCCGATCATCCAGGCCCCAACTATATTTGGGGTAAAGGGGGATTGAATACAGGGGAATGGGTGCTGTGTTGGAAAGAATAACTGTCCCCATCGATGGCCACATTGTAATCCTTGGAGCCTGTGACTATGTTATAGGGCAGGGGACTGAAGGGGAAGATGGAGCTCAGGTTGTTGATGAGTTGACCTTGAGATGGGGAGATGGCCTGGACCCTCCCACTGGGCTCAGTGTAATCACAAGGGTCCATATGAGTGGAGAAGGAAGAGGAGAATGGGGATTAGAGCAGCATCGTGGGATACTCCACCAGCCACTGTGGGCTTTGAAGGTGGAGGAAGACCACGAGCCACGAAGGGGCTGGAGAAATCAATGGAACTGATTCTCCCGAGTCTCCAGAGGGAATGCAGCCCTGCAGATGCCTTGATTGTAGCCCAGGAAGAACAGGGTCTGATTTCTGTCTCCAGAAGTGGAAGGGGTCAGTGTGTTCTCTCCTGCCGCCATGTTTGTGATAATTTTCTCCAGCAACAACAGGAAACCAACACAGGAACCCAGGTGAAGGACAAGTTAAAAAACCAAACAAGAAGGTTGGCTACCCTGAGATCAGCAAGGGTGCACTGCTGATGCCACCACCAGGCTGGAACCACATAGGGAGGGATCGACAGGAAGAGTTGGGGGTGGAGGGTGAGAGAGAGAGAGAGAGAGAGAGCACTAGGCCATAGAGCAGGGCAGTGAGTTCTCAGCTCAGGTGGGAGGGGAGCTGTGACAAGGAAGAACCTCCCTGAGGAAACTGCCTCTTCTCCTTCCAGGTCTATATGAGAAACCTTCGCTTACAGCCCGGCCGGGCCCCACGGTTCGCGCAGGAGAGAACGTGACCTTGTCCTGCAGCTCCCAGAGCTCCTTTGACATCTACCATCTATCCAGGGAGGGGGAAGCCCATGAACTTAGGCTCCCTGCAGTGCCCAGCATCAATGGAACATTCCAGGCCGACTTCCCTCTGGGTCCTGCCACCCACGGAGAGACCTACAGATGCTTCGGCTCTTTCCATGGATCTCCCTACGAGTGGTCAGACCCGAGTGACCCACTGCCTGTTTCTGTCACAGGTGAGGAAAGCCAATGTCTGTCCCATGTCCTATGGTCCTAGAGCCTTAGCTGAGGAGCTTCCTGCTGATGATGGAGAGAAGCATGGACAGATGTGGAGAGAAGATGCAGCATGGTGTGAGGGTGGGATCAGGGCACAGGATGGCAGACAGGGCACCTCCAAACCCTCCTGCATGGCCTGCATGGAAGCTTGCAGTAAGGGCTCCGGGTACCCAGGCAGATGGAGAAAGTGGTCAGGACAGACCCAGAGGAGGGAGACTGGGCTCAGTTTGGGGAGATCAGAGGTTCCCTCAGCCCCTCAACCTTACCCATTTCCCAGAAGCCCACCCTGGCCTCTCACCTACACAGAGATGTCATCACCAGCAACCCCTACACTTTTTCTTTTCCTTTGAAAAAATGCTGATTGAGGTTAAATATACCTATATAATTTATCAACTTTACCATTTTTAAGTGTAAAATCTAGGGATCATAAATACCTTTATATGCTGTGTGCAGTGGCTCACGCCTGTAATCTCAGCATTTTGAGACGCCAAGGCAGGTGGATCATTTAAAATCAGGGGCTGGAGACCAGCCTGGCCAACATGGGGGAACCAATCTTTACTAAAAAGACAAAAAAAATAAAATTAGCCAGGCATGGTGCCAGGCGCCTATAATCCCAGCAACTTGGGAGGCTGAGGCGGGAGAGTGGCTTAAACCCAGGAGGAGGAGGTTGCAGTGAGCTGAGATCATGCCACTGCACTGCAGCCTGGTGACACAGAGAGACTCTGTCTCTAAATAAATAAATAAATACTTTTATATTCTTCTTTTGTTACCCTCCACCCCTTCCTTCCTAACCTCTGGTATCCACCATTCTACTCTCTACCTTCATGAGGTCCACCTTTTACATCCTGCATGTGAGTAAGAAATGGCAATCCTTGTAATGACCTCCAGTCCATCCATGTGGCTGCAAATGACAGGACGTTTCTCTTTGTATGGATGAGTTGTCTCCATTGTGTGTATGTACTACATTCTCTCTATCCATTCATCCACTGATGGGCAGGTAGGTTGACTCCACATCTTGGCTACTGTGAACAGTGCTGGAACAGTCATGGGAGTGCAGATGTCACTTCAATACACTGAAGTCCTTTTCTTTGCATTTACACCCACTAGTGGAATTGCTAGATCCTCTGGATGTTCTCTTTTTAGGTTTTGTTTTATGCTTTTTGTTTTTTTGACATAGCGTTTCACTCTTGTTGCCCAAGCTGGAGTGCAATGGCACCACCTGGGCTCACTGCAACCTCTACCTCCAGGATTCAAGTGATTCTCCAGCCTCAGCCTCCCGAGTAGTTGGGATTACTGGTGCCCGCCACCACGCCTGGCTGATTTTTGTATTTTTAGTAGAGACGGGGTTTCACCATGTTAGCCAGGCTGGTCTCGAACTCTTGACCTCCAGTGATCTGCCCACTTCAGCCTCCCAAGGTGCTGGGATTACAAGCGTGAGCCACAGTGCCTAATCTCTTTTTAGTTTTTAAGGAACTTCCATATTCTTCTCCTCTGTAATGGCTGTATTAATTTACATTCCTATCAACAGTGTATCAGGGTTCTCCTTTCTCCACCACCTTGCCAACATTTGTTTTGTCTGTCTCTGAGATAAAACCCATTGTAATGGGGTGAGATGATAGCTCATTGTGACTTCATTTGCATTTCTCTGATGATTAGTGATACTGAGCACTTTTTCATATATGCAATGTATATATGTTCATTTGTATGTTTTGTTCATTGAGAAATGTCTGTTCAGGTCTTTTACTAATTTTATAATTAAATTATTAGTTTTATTGAGGTGTTTGAGCTTCTTTTATATTCTAGTTATTAATCCCATCTCAGATGCATAGTTTGCAAATATTTGCTCCCATTCTGTGGGTTGTCTCTTCTTCACTTCATTGGTTGCTTCCTTTGCGGTGCAGAAGCTGCTTGATTTGATATAATCCCAATGGTCTATTTTTTTGTTGTTGTTGTGATTACTTGTGTTTTTGAGGTTTTAAACAAAATGTCTTCCCTCAGACAAATGTCCTGGAGCATTTCTCCAGTGTTTCCTTTTAGACATTTAATGGATTCAGGTCTTAAGTCATTAATCCATTTTCATCTGATTTTTGTGTATGGTGAGAGGTAGAGGTGCAGTTTCATCCCTCTGCATGTAGATATCCAGTTTTCCCTGCACCATTTATTGAAATGACTGTCCTTTCCAGATTGTAGATTCTTCGAACCTTTGTCAAAGTCCATTGGATGTAAATGGGTGGATTACATCCGTGTTCTTCATTCTGCTCCATTGTTTTATGTGCTTTTCTTTATGCCAATGTCATGTTGTTTTGTTTACTACAGCTCTGTAACATATTTTTAAGTCAGGTAGTGTGATGCTCCTGTTTTCTCCTTATACCTTGAAGTCTCAAGATAGTTGGTGTCACCTACAATGATTATGGAGAATGGGATGCCAGGACTCCCAGGGCCCAACATTAGATAATAGAATGTTGGCCATGAACCAACCTCAAAGATTTCCATTGAGTAGAAGACAGGCATCCTCATTGCCACACCTCTCTCCTGTCCCATGTTCTAGGAAACCCTTCTAGTAGTTGGCCTTCACCCACTGAACCAAGCTTCAAAACTGGTAAGTGAAGGACCCCTCTTATCTCTGCTTTTGGAAACCTGGGGAGGTAGAAGCCTTGGATTCAAGCGTTGGCTCAGCACCTGCCAGCTCTGTGATTGTGGGCCTGTCTTCCATTGTCTCTGAACCCCAGACACTCCAACAGCGAAAGGGATCTGGGCCCAGCACAGGGCTCAGTGAAATCTCTTAATCTCTAATTTTCTGCTGCTGAGACCTCAGGGTAGAAGGATGAGTGCAAATCAGACATTCTTCTCAGGAAAAATGCTGTGTTTGTTCTGCCTGCATTCCTAACTGGGAGGACAAATGCCTGGGGGCTTGAGAAGGGGAAGGACGGGGAACATTTTTGAGGGTGGTGTATTTGTAGAGAAGTTCTACTTGCCAAGGAATGAGCTCCTGTCTGTCATGATCCAACCCTGGTTGACTTAGTGGAACAAGAGCTTTGCAGTAAGAGAGAACGTAGTTCATCCGTGCACATGACACTTCCACTTACTCGTTCAGCCACTGCCCCATGCTCAGACTGTGCAGTGTGGAACCTTTTCCTATGTTGCCATAACAAATTTCCACAAGCTTCGTGGATGGAAACCACATTTTTAAAAAATATCTCATGGTGCTGTAGCTCAGAAGTATGAAATGCATCATCTCACTGGGCTAAAATCAAGGTGACAGCAAGGCTGCCTTCCCTCTGAATGTTCCAGGCAAGAATCTGCTTCCTCACTTTTCCCAGCTCCTAGAGGCTCCCACATTCCTTGGCTCCTGGTCCCCGTCTTCCTCCCTCAAAGTCCACAAAGGCTGGTCACGCCTCTCACACGGCATCACTCAGACCCTTCTTCCTTGTCCACACCTCTTTCTCTGAATGCTGCTCTGCCTTCTTCCTCATCTTTTAAGGACTTTGGCATTCTATTGGAAACACCAAGATAATCCATCATAATTTCCCTAAAATCATCTAGGATACCCTCCTTTTAAGGTTAGCTGATTAGCAACCGTAATTCCATCTGCAATCTGCATTCCTTTTTTCCATGTAAAATAACATATTCACAAGATATGGCGACTAGGACAGGAACATTTTGGGGTGGGGCGGCATTCTTATCCTTTCCACAAATGGTAAACAAGGTGCATTTGGCCTCTGCTCTTGGACACTGATATTGCAAAGGATTAAATGGGAGGGCAGAAAATGAATGCACCAGTGGACCAATAAATGAATGATCCATTGGGAAGCATCTGTGCATGAGAATGATTGATTGATTGGTTGTTTTTATGAGACGGTGTCTCCCTCTGTGCCCCAGGCTGGAGTGCAGTGGCGGGATCTCGGCTCACCGCAACCTCCACCTCCCAGGTTAAAGCGATTCTCTACACTCAGCTTCCCGAGAGGCTGGGATTACACCCATGTCCCACCACGCCTGGCTAATTTTTTTTTGGTATTTTTTTTTAGTACAGACAAGGTTTTACCATGTTGCCCAGGCTATCTCAAACTCCCAACCTTAAGGGATCCGCCCGTCTCAGCCTCCCAAAGTGCTGAGATTAGAGGCGTGAGCCAAGGCGCCGAGCCGTATTTTAAAAGAAATAATAGATAATGCTGAGTGTATAATTTCGGGTGACAGAGAAGTTCTCACTGATCAAATAATACTTGTGACCTTAATGAAAAAAATAGATCAACCCCTGGAAGATTGGCGGAAGGATTTTCCACACAGCTGTCAGCCGTGAAGGCACAAAGGTGAAAACAATGTTATGTGGAAGGAAGAGGCTCTGCCTGAAATGCTGGGAATGACATGGGGAGAATGACAAGACGACTGTGGAGAGACAGAGAGCACTCTGGGTACACAGGAAACTAAGGAGGAACAAGGAGCGTGTGTTTGATACTCACAGCCATTGGACTTACCTCGGGGCTAACTGGGAATCCCTACATGATGAATAGTGACTGACATGAAAATAAGGGAGGCCCAGGTGCATAACTGGAATCTAGGAGACTGTGGAAAAGGCAATTCCCGCCCCCCTGGTGAAATGTGGTGCTGATTTAGACACTAAATGAATGAAAGATGGACACAAGATGTGTTTGTGAGGTAGAGTAATTTGCAGGGAGGGCTTGCCTGGTTTGATTTTTCCTAATTGTTTAATCTTCACTTCATTGATTTCTTTCTGAGATTTATTTTTCCTACATGTAAATCAATACTTGGCAGAGGAGTGAGAGATACATGAGGGGTGGTGCAAAGGAAGAGACCTATTATAATATAACACACAAGGTTCTGAACGGTGGCTCACACCTGTAACCCAACATTTTGGGAGGCTGAGGAGGCTGGATCAAGTGAGATCAGGAGTTCGAGATCAGCCTGGACAACATGGTGAAACCCCATCTCTACTAAATATACAAAAACTAGCTGGGGGTGGTGGCGCGTGCCTGTAATACCAGCTATTCGGGAAGTTGAAGAAGGAGAATGGCTTCAACCAGGGAGGGAGAGGTTACAGTGAGCCAAGATCGCGTCATTGCACTGCACCCTAGGTGACAGAGTGAGACTCCATGGCAAAAAATAAAAATAAAGAATACATAAATATAATATAACATACACGAATGACAAAGGCACACCAATTCCAATCATCATTTTTCTATTTCTCTATAATGACTTCTTTGATCCTTTATCCTATCCGTAAGAAAATCAGGCGAAAACATCTTCCTTATTTGGCTTTCTGTGAGCATGAGATCATATGGAAAATGTGAAACCCACCAGCACAGGTCCTGGAATAGAGAACGTGATCTGTTCATGGCACAAAACTTGCCCCTTCACCCAAATCCCCCACCTCACCCCTACTTCCAATCACATTAATGATACAGATAGATCATGGGGAGGTAAAAACTAATATTCTTTGGAGTTCAGATCGTAGACTCAGAGACCAGTGCCAGCACTATCTCCTGGTCACCTTTTGGAGTAATTCACAGAAAGACAGGCTGTATTGAAGCAACAGATGATGGAGGGGGTGGTCTTTCCCCCAGACTCTCGGGTGGAACAGCAGCCTAATATCTGACTCCCAAGATGACAAAAGTAGCATGTTGCCCACGAGCTTCATCATTATTTCCTGGCTGTTTGATATAAGACAGCTCAACCTCACTTATGTTGATTTCAATGTCACTGTTTTTTCCTTTTCTTGGAGAATGTAATTTGTTTGAGTCAAGAGGGTTGTGGATGTAGAAACTGTAAAGCACATTCACTGTGTATCAATCCCAGTCCAGTCTTCCCAGAGAAGACTCTAAACACCTCCCATACTGCACCTGGGGCTGTGCCAATTTCTATCACTCACCATCACTCCAGGGAGACAGAACACACAGGGAATACATTACATAGGCAGGTTCATTACTTATAGATAAGCAGCGAGTGACAACAGAAACCTTCCTTTCAGGGTGAGCCAGTCCCTCAAGGCTCAGAAAAACTGCTCAGGACACATGGAGTCACTTCATGTGCACTGTAGCTGGGGGAAGCCAGAAAGCAGCCCAGCCTGGGTTTTGTACCCTGGAGCCACAGGGAACACTCAGCTAAAGCACTGCATGATGTTCTCCTCCAGGAAGAACAGGAAGACAGCCCAGGCTGTTCTGAGACGTTCCTCCTGATCTCAGGATGTTGCTGTCTTAGCCTATTTTTGTTGCTATAAAAGAACACTTGAGCCTGGGTATCTTCTAAAGAAAAGAGATGTGTTTGGCTCACTGATCTGCACGCTGTACTAGAAGCAGGACACTACCATCTATTTCTGGCTGCGGCCTCAGGCTGCTCCCACACTGACAGAAGAGAAGGGGGTCCTGCGTGTGCAGAGACCACAGAGATCACATGGCAAGAGAGGGAGAAAGGGGGTGTGATGGAGCTTCCAAGCTCTTTTTAAGAATCAACTCTCCAGGGTACTAATAGAGGGAGAACTTGCTAACCCCGTCCTCTGGGGACAGCATTAATCTATTCATGATGGATCCACCCCCATGACCAAAACACCCCTCCCAATAGGCACAACCTCCCACACTGGGGATTAAATTTCAAAGTGGGGTTTGGAGGGGTCAAACATTGAAACAATAGCAGTTGTATCATCAGCACATTCTATTGTTATTATGAAAACTATAACGGAGAAAGCAGGAGAAAGCTGGGTCTCCCGCCTCGTGGGTGCTTGTCTTAAAGAGGTGTTTTATGTGGTTGCCTGGCAACCAAGAAATGAGAGACAATCCACAAAGAGGAACTGCTATGGTTAGCTTCTTATTGGATTCCCATCTTCCTCCAGGTATCGCCAGACACCTGCATGCTGTGATTAGGTACTCAGTGGCCATCATCCTCTTTACCATCCTTCCCTTCTTTCTCCTTCATCGCTGGTGCTCCAAAAAAAAAGTAAGCCTCACGAAGCAGAGGCCAGAGAACTCAGGGCCCTGTGCGGAAGCAGGATGGGAGCACGCAGGTGTGTGTTCCTCACTGGCAGGAAAGTCTCTGGCCCAAGGCAGGAGCCAGAGGCAGAGCTTTCTAGAGAGAGCACCAGACACCCTGCCCCTGCCTTCAGCTCACAGACCGTTGCCTGATTGTGAACTGTATCCTCACGTCCCCTGCAGCCACTCACATCCAGGAGAAGATTCCATGACAGGCAGAAAGTGGGAGATAGAATCAATGGGATGGGAACTGACAGCTATTCATGGAATGGGGTCTTGCACTCAGAGAGATGGAATGTCTGAGTCTGGCTGTTGGCAGCTGAGGGACCTCAGGCACCTATGGCCTCCCCCTGTGTGTTGGTATCTGTTCATGAAATGAGGACCCAGAAGTGCCCTCCCAGCTGTTTTGATTGCTTCCGTCTCCTACAGATGCTGCTGTAATGAACCAAGAGCCTGCGGGACACAGAACAGTGAACAGGGAGGTAGGTCCTCCTAGCCCAGCCTCATGGATACAGTCTTATTCCGAAATAGTCCTGAAAAATGTGAACACCCTCCCTCACTCAGGATTTCCCTCTCTCCAGGACTCTGATGAACAAGACCCTCAGGAGGTGACATACGCACAGTTGGATCACTGCATTTTCACACAGAGAAAAATCACTGGCCCTTCTCAGAGGAGCAAGAGACCCTCAACAGATACCAGCGTGTGTATAGAACTTCCAAATGCTGAGCCCAGAGCGTTGTCTCCTGCCCATGAGCACCACAGTCAGGCCTTGATGGGATCTTCTAGGGAGACAACAGCCCTGTCTCAAACCCAGCTTGCCAGCTCTAATGTACCAGCAGCTGGAATCTGAAGGCGTGAGTCTCCATCTTAGAGCATCACTCTTCCTCACACCACAAATCTGGTGCCTGTCTCTTGCTTACCAATGTCTAAGGTCCCCACTGCCTGCTGCAGAGAAAACACACTCCTTTGCTTAGCCCACAATTCTCTATTTCACTTGACCCCTGCCCACCTCTCCAACCTAACTGGCTTACTTCCTAGTCTACTTGAGGCTGCAATCACACTGAGGAACTCACAATTCCAAACATACAAGAGGCTCTCTCTTAACACGGCACTTAGACACGTGCTGTTCCACCTTCCCTCGTGCTGTTCCACCTTTCCTCAGACTATTTTTCAGCCTTCTGGCATCAGCAAACCTTATAAAATTTTTTTGATTTCAGTGTAGTTCTCTCCTCTTCAAATAAACATGTCTGCCTTCATTCTTTAGGTGACTCTTTTTTTGGCTGAAAGTTTCCAGTGTTATCATTACCATGTCCAAATAACTCCAACTGTTCTCCACTGGGTTCTCACCCCTGGACTCGGAGCTTCTGGAAGCAGGGTGGAGCCTGATTTGTCTCTGAGACTCCAATTTCCATCCAAAGATGCAGCACATAAGAGGTTCCAAGGATCGTGAATCACATGAACAAGTGATATTCTTACTCTCTGCAGACCTGGAAAGCTGGCAGAGTCATTCCATGATGAAACATTTGTAGAGTCATAGGCCTTGTTAGTCTCATCTCCACGGGGACACATATCAACACATCATCTTTCATACTATAAATATACAGTCGGTCCTCTGTATCTGTGGGATTTACAGGTGTTTATTGAACCAAATATAAATCAAAAATATTCAGAGAAAAAATCCACAAAGTTTCAAAAAGCAAAACTATGTTGAATGGACACAAATGAAGCTGTGTGTAGGCTGTATCAGGAATTATAAATAATCAAGGGATGATTTCATGTACACAGGAGGATGTGCATGGGTTATTTGCAAATGCTGTGCCATTTCATGTAAGAGGCTTGAGCGTCTGCAGATTGTGCTATCTGAGTGGAGATCCTGAAACCAATCACCCACGAATAGTGAGGGATGACTGTATATAATTTTTATTTCTCAATTTTAAATATAAAACATAAAAAAATTACAATAACAAGATAAAATAAACAAGTGTTTTATAGTGTGAGAATACGTTTAGATATATTTTTCTCTATGTGTAACCCTTGGGCCCATGTTATTTATTGAGAAGACATTCTATTCCACCTTAAACCACATGGCAGCCTTTGTCAACTATAAAGGGACTGTGTGTACACGGATGTATTTTAGACACTGTTTTCTGCTCAGTGGCTCTCTCTCTGTCCACTCTCTTGAGAATGCTGCATTTTATGCAGCCTTATACAACCCCTAAAATTTGGTAGCTGGAGTCCTCTAGTTATTTATTATAGGCTATTTGCTATGCTTTTTTTATTTTTCTTGAGGCAGAGTCTCGCTCTGTTGCCCAGGCTGGAGTGCAGTGGCACGATCTCGGCTCACTGCAACTTCCGCCTCCCAGGTTCAAGGGATTCCGTGCCTCAGCCTCTTGAATAGCTGGCATTACAAGTGCCTGCTACCAGGCATGGCTAATTTTTGTATTTTTAGCAGAGACATGGTTTCACTATATTGGCCAGGCTGGTCTCAAACTCCTGACCTCGGTTGATCACTCACCTCGGCTTCCAAAGTGCTGGGGAAATTGATTTTCTATAGCATTATGTTACTGGATATTTCTGTAAAATTTAAAATGAGGGAGGCAGAGAGACAGAGAGAGAGCAAACCATGAGTTGGAACTCTGGAATCTTGGGACATGAGACAAATTCTAGATAAATCTACAAAAATCCAGAATTTACATGTTGTGATTTTTGCTGATAAAGTACAATTCTAAGATTGTAAATAATTGCATAATCCTTCCCTGGGAGTTTAAATCATTTGAACTGGGTCTGCTGTAATACTAGAAATACAATCATGAAAAATTCTAATGGTTTATTGTCACAATTGCTCTGAAAACCTTAATAATACCTATTAGATATTTTGCATATTACACAGGAAGAAGAGTTTGAATCTCAGATAAAAACAATAAAAATACATGAAAAGTCTTTCATGTTAGCACAGATTTTAGGCATCTCATGTTCGGGAGGTTGGATCTGAGACGTGTTTTGAGTTGGTCATAGTGAAGGACGCGAGGTGTCAATTCTAGTGAGAGCAATTTCCAGGAAGCCATGTTCCGCTCTTGAGCGAGCACCCACTGGGCCTCATGCAAGGTAGAAAGAGCCTGCGTACGTCACCCTCCCATGATGTGGTCAACATGTAAACTGCATGGGCAGGGCGCCGAATAACATCCTGTGCGCTGCTGAGCTGAGCTGGGGCGCAGCCGCCTGTCTGCACCGGCAGCACCATGTCGCTCATGGTCGTCAGCATGGCGTGTGTTGGTGAGTCCTGGAAGGGAATCGAGGGAGGGAGTGAGGGGATGGAGATCTGGACCTGGAGGTAAAGATATGGGCCTAGAGGTGGAGTTATGGGCCTAGAGGTGGAGTTATGGGCCTGAAGTGGAGATCTGGGCCTGGAGTGGAGATCTGGGCCTGGAGTGGAGATAGGGGCCTGGGGTGGAGATATGTGCCTGGAGTGGAGATCTGGGCCTGGAGTGGAGATATGGGCCTGGGGTGGAGATATGTGCCTGGGGTGGAGAGATGGGCCTGGAGGGGAGATATGGGCCTGGAGGGGAGATGTGGGCCTAGAGGTGGAGTGATGGGCCTAGAAGTGGAGCGATGGGCCTGGAGTGGAGATATGGGCCTGGAGGTGGAGTTATGGGCCTGCAGTAGAGATATGGGCCTGAAGTGGAGATATGGGCCTGGAGTGGAGATATGGGCCTAGAGGTGGAGTTATGGGCCCGGAGGTGGAGTTAAGGGCATGAAGTGGAGATCTGGGCCTGGAGTGGAGATATGATCCTGGAGTGGAGATATGGGCCTGGGGTGGAGATACGGGCCTGGAGCAGACATACAAGCCTGGAAAGGAGATATGGGCCTGGAGAGGAGATAGAAGCCTGGAGTGGAAATATGGGCCTGGAGTGGACTTACCAGCCTGGAGAGGAGATATGGGCCTGGAGTTGAGATAGGAGCCTGGAGTGGAGATATGGGCCTGGAGTGGACTTACCAGCCTGGAGAGGAGATATGGGCCTGGAGTGGAGATACGGACCTGGAGTGGAGATCTGGGCCTGTTGTGTAGATCTAGGCCTGGAGGTAGAGATCTGGGCCTGGAGGCTCAGTCTCTGCACAGCCGAGATCCTTGTTCCTGGGGGCAGGTAGGCAGCGAGGGTGAGTTTACCTTCAGCCCAGCAAGGGCCTGGCTGCCAAGACGCACAGCCCAGTGGGGGCAGCAGGGTGCCCTGGTTTGCCTGCAGATGGATGGTCCATCATGATCTTTCTTTCTAGGGTTGTTCTTGGTCCAGAGGGCCGGTCCACACATGGGTGAGTCCTTCCCCAAACCTTAGGGTGTCATCTCCCCACATAAGAGGATTTTCCTGAAATGGGAGGGAAGTCCTGTCGGGGAGTCTCTCATACACTAGGAAGAGGGGACCCTCGGATGCTCGGCCCACATTTCTGACCTTGCCTTCCCCGGCCTTTCATTCCCTTTCCTGAGTCAAGCTCTGTGAAGACTGGGGTGAGACTAGGGTGCTCCAAGATGGGTGTGCAGGGAGGAAGTGGTGTCAGCAGCAGAGAAAGAGAGGGAAGCAGTGCTAGGAACAGCAGGTCCTCTGAGGACAAAGGTGTAACTCACACCCTCCAGCGTTTCCGTGATGGTAGGGGCTGCAGTGTGGCTGCGGTCTTTCTACCAGAAAAGGTGAGGAAACCACAGCCATGGCCCTGACATTCCAAATCCTCTGATGGGGGCTCAGTTCATCAATTGGCTGATATTCCATTCACATAGGACTTGCCCTCCATGCCGTGTCTACTTTGTGTTGTTTTATATGAGTAATTTTGCAGTATTAAAATCTAGTAAGAGTTGCTTCTCCAGCAACTTGCTCAAAGTTCTCAGCTGACACTTGTTGTAGGGAGACGCCAAGTCTATGCAGGATGGGTCCTTCCTGTAGCCCTGGGCACCCAGGTGTGGTAGGAGCCTTAGAAAGTGGAAATGGGGAGAATCTTCTGGGCACTGGGAGTGAGGGGCGGCTCCACATCCTCCTCTCTAAGGCAGTGCCTCCTTCTCCCCCAGGTGGTCAGGACAAACCCTTCCTGTCTGCCTGGCCCAGCGCTGTGCTGCCTCGAGGAGGACACGTGACTCTTCGGTGTCACTATCGTCATAGGTTTAACAATTTCATGCTATACAAAGAAGACAGAATCCACATTCCCATCTTCCATGGCAGAATATTCCAGGAGAGCTTCAACATGAGCCCTGTGACCACAGCACATGCAGGGAACTACACATGTCGGGGTTCACACCCACACTCCCCCACTGGGTGGTCGGCACCCAGCAACCCCGTGGTGATCATGGTCACAGGTCAGAGGCTTTCCGTCTGGGCTTCTCACTGTCCCACCTCCTGAATCCCAGAGCTTCTGGTGGGGGTGTCCGTCAGGGTCCCATCACCCAGGCCCTGACTGTATTTGGGGTCAAGGGAGATTGAATACAGGGGAAATGGGTGCTGTGGTGGGAAGAATCACTGTCCCCAATGATGGCTACATTGTAATCCCTGGAGCCTGTGACTATTTATGTTACAGGGCAGGGGACTGAAGGGGAAGGTGGAGCTCAGGTTGTTGATGAGTTGACCTTCAGATGGGGAGACAGCCTGGACTGTCCCACTGGGCTCAGTGTAATCACAAGGGTCCACATGAGAGGTGGAGGAAGAGGGGAGTGGGGATTAGAGCAGTGTAGTGGGAGGGAGACGCTATCAGCCACTGCGGGCTTTGAAGGTGGAGAAAGACCACTAGTCACAGAATGCAGGTGGCCTCTAAGGGCTGGAGAAGTCAAGAGAACTGATTCGCTGATTCTCCAGAGGGAACGCAGCCCTGTAGACACCTTGATTTCAGCACAGGGAGAACTGGATCCAATTTCTGTCTCCAGAAGTGGAAGGGGTCAGTGTGTTCTCTCCCGCTGCCATGTTTGTGGTAATTTTCTGCAGCAGCAACAGGAAACCAACACAGGAACCCAGGTCAAGGACAAGTTAGGAAACCAAACAAGGATAGCCAGATGTGGTGGTGGGCGCGAGTAATCCAACGACTGGGGAGGCTGAGGCAAGAGAATCACTTGAACTGGGGATTTGTTCAAAAGAGATTGATTCAGGCTGCTAAGAGCCTGGACATGCAGCCTGTCCTCTTCCACCCCCACATAGACAGCAGGAAAGAGATTAGTGGGAAACAGATACAACAGCCCAAGAGATGAGGCTGTCTTCACAGTGGCAAGGGAGTCAGGGGCTACTGGAGACAGAGGGACAGAGAAGAGGGAGGAAGACAGATGGAGGCACCTGCACCAGGGGATATGGGCACAGAAAAGACACGGAGACACAGAGAGGGAGGAGAGAGACAGACACGGGGAGGGGAACCCTCACTCATTCCAGGTGCCATGGATGGGATGATAAAGAGAGATGCCTTCTAAACTCACAACTTCTCTTTCTAGGAAACCACAGAAAACCTTCCCTCCTGGCCCACCCAGGTCCCCTGGTGAAATCAGGAGAGAGAGTCATCCTGCAATGTTGGTCAGATATCATGTTTGAGCACTTCTTTCTGCACAAAGAGGGGATCTCTAAGGACCCCTCACGCCTCGTTGGACAGATCCATGATGGGGTCTCCAAGGCCAATTTCTCCATCGGTCCCATGATGCTTGCCCTTGCAGGGACCTACAGATGCTACGGTTCTGTTACTCACACCACCTATCAGTTGTCAGCTCCCAGTGATCCCCTGGACATCGTGGTCACAGGTGAGAGTGTCTAGACATTGTTCTCATTGTCACTGGGACACAGAGTGAATGATCCAGGACTTGGAACCCCCAGGTGGTCATGAGGAAGATAAGTGTGGGATTCTTACGGAAAGAGAGTGACTTGGTGAGGTCTGTACCAACAGAGACAGAGAAACAGGAGACATAAGTACAGAACAGTTGTCATAACAGAGGACAGACACAGGGGCCATACAGGGAGGTAGAAAAGAGAGAAAGAGGTAAAGGAGACACTCAGACAGACAGACATGTCCCAGAGAGAGGTGTCCTTCCATGCTGACTTTGCTCAGAGACCTGGCACAGGTTAGAAGTTTCATTTCTGTTTTACCTCCACAAAGTGTTCCTACCAGAAGAACCCAAGGACACCCATATTTCTGACCTGAGTTGGGCCCTGTGGCCTCAGGCCTTGTGCCACCTACAGATGCCGTGTTTATTCTGACACCTCTGCCTTCCATGCAATGGAGAGTAATCATCCCAGGATATCATGGCCCCTGAACACCAACCCCTGTATGCTGTGTGAACTTGGGGTCCCCAGACTGGATTCTGAGGCTCATATTCCAAATAATCCCACATATGATAGGATCGCTGAGAGACACAGAGAAAAATCAGGGACACCAAAAAGCAAAGACATAAACACACACAAAATGAGCCAGAAGAAGGAGATTAAGAGATTCACAGACACATAAAAAGAAAGAAAAGAGGGCAGAGTGGAGAGAATGATGGAAAGGAGGAGAGAAAAGCCCCAAAATCAGAACCCTGAGGGAGGGACACAAAGACAGAGAAAGATAAATATGTGGGGATGGATTGCAGAGATTCCAAATAGAACTAGAGAGACTGAGAGGCAGAGAAAGACAAGGAGACGGAGAGAGAGAGATGATAGATGGATAGATAGACGTAGATAGATGATAAATAGGTAGATGATAGATAATGGATTGGTTATAGATACATAGATGATGACTGATAGATGATACATAGAGATGACGATGATGATGATAGACACATAGATATATACTTAGATGATACATAAATAGAGACAGAGAGGCAGACAGAGAGGTAATAGAGAGAGAGATAGATGATACATATATAGATAATAGATGATTGATGGATAGATAGACAGACAGACAATTGATAGAGAGATAGATAAGTGATACATAAATATAGATGATAGATAATTTGTAGATAGACACAAAATAGATTAATAGATAGAAATGTGCAGAAAGTTATGAACAAGACAGAAAGTGAGAGACTCAAAATTAAAGAAAAAGGAAGATCAAGTCAACCAATCCAAGGAGGGTCAGAGAGAATAAAACAATCCAAAAAGGGAAAACATACCTCAGGGTGGGGAATTGAGGTCATAGACCTAGAGAGACAGAAAAGGTAGAAGGAGGAAACAGATATGAAGAGAGATGGGGTGGAGGGTGAGAGAGAGAGAGAGAGCATTAGGTCATAGAGCAGGGGAGTGAGTTCTCAGCTCAGGTATGAGGGGAGCTATGACAAGGAAGAACCTCCCTGAGGAAACTGCCTCTTCTCCTTCCAGGTCCATATGAGAAACCTTCTCTCTCAGCCCAGCCGGGCCCCAAGGTTCAGGCAGGAGAGAGCGTGACCTTGTCCTGTAGCTCCCGGAGCTCCTATGACATGTACCATCTATCCAGGGAGGGGGGAGCCCATGAACGTAGGCTCCCTGCAGTGCGCAAGGTCAACAGAACATTCCAGGCAGATTTCCCTCTGGGCCCTGCCACCCACGGAGGGACCTACAGATGCTTTGGCTCTTTCCGTCACTCTCCCTACGAGTTGTCAGACCCGAGTGACCCACTGCTTGTTTCTGTCACAGGTGAGAAAAGCCCATATCTCTCTCATGTCCTATGATCCTAAATCCTTAGCTAAGGAGCTTCCTGCTGATGATGGAGAAAAGCATGGACAGATGCAGAGAGAAGACACAGCAGGTGTGAGGGCGGAGTCAGGGCGCAGGATGGCAGACAGGGCACCTCCAAACCCTCCTTCATGGCCTGCATGGAGGCCTCCGATCAGGGCTCCAGGCACCCAGGCAGATGGAGAAAGCGGTCAGGACAGACCCAGAGAAGGGGAGACTGGGCTTAGTTTCGGGAGATCAGAGGTTCCCTCAGCCCCTCAATCTTATCCATTTCCCAGAAGCCCATCATGGCCTCTCACCCACACAGAGAGATGTCATCACCAGCAACCCCTACACCCTTTTCTTTTCATTTTCAAAAATATTTATTGAGGTTAAATGTAACTATATAATTTACCACCTTTACCATTTTTAAAAGTAAAATCTAGTGGTCATAAATACCTTTATATGCTGGGTGTGGTGGTTCACGGTTGTAATCTCGGCGCTTTGAGAGGCCAAGGAAGGTGGATCATTTAAGATCAGGAACTCGAGATCACCCTGGCCAACATGTGGGAAATTCATCTTTACTAAACAGACAAGAAAAATTAGCCGAGCATGCCGGCATGCACCTGTAGTCCTAGCTACTTGGGAGGCTGAGGCAGGAGAAGCACTTAAAGCCAGGAGGCAGAGGTTGCACTGAGCCGAGATCATGCCACTGCACTGCAGCCTGGGAGACAGAGAGAGACTCTGTTTCTAAATAAATAAATACATCTATATTCTTTTTTTTGTTACCCTCCACCCTTCCCTTCCTGGCCTCTGGTGTCCACCATTGTATTCTCCACCTTCATGAGATCCACCTTTTATCTCCTGCATGTGGTGAGAAATGGGAATCTTTGTAATGACCTCCAGTTCCATCCATGTGGCTGCAAATGACAGGATGTTATTGTTTCTATGGATGAGTAGTCTCCACCGTGTGTGTGTACTACAGTTCTCTATCCATTCACCCACTGATAGGCAGGTAGGTTGACTCCACATCTTGGCTACTGTGAACAGTGCTGGAACAGTCATATGAGTGCAGATATCACTTCGATACACTGATGTCCTTTCCTTTGGATATAAACCCAGTAGTGAAATTGCTGGACACTATGAAAGTTCTCTTTTTTTTTTTTCCTTTTTTGAGAAAGAGTTTCCCTCCTTAGTCCAAGCTGGAGTCTAAGTGGTGAGATCTTGGCTCATTGCAACCTGTGCCTCCTAGGTTCAAATGATTGTCCTGACTCAGCCTCCCTAGTAGCTGTGATTACAGGTGCACGCCACCATGCCTGGCTAATTTTTGTATTTTTTTAGCACAGACGGGATATCCCAATTTTGGGCAGGCTGCTCTCAAACTCCTGACCTCAAGTGAGGTGCCTGCCTCGGTTTCCCAAAGTGCTGAAGTTACAGGCATAAGCCACTATGCCCAGCCTCCTTTTAGTTTTTTAAAGAATTTCCATACTTTTCTCCATAATAGTTGTACTAATTTACATTCCTACCAACAGGGTACCAGGGTTCTCCTTTCTCTACCATCTTGCCAGCATTTGTTTTGCCTGTCTTGCAGTAAAAGCCATTTTACTTTACTTTATTTTATTTATTTATTTATGTTGAGATGGAGTTTCACTCATAGTCGCCCAGGCTGGAGTGCAAGGGTGTGATCTCAGCTCACTGCAACCTCCGCCTCCCGCGTTCAACTGATTCTCCTGCCTCAGCCTCCAAAGTAGCTGGGATTACAGGCATGTGCCACCACGCCTAGCTAATTTTTGTATGTTTAGTAGAGAGGGAGTTTCTCCATGTTGGTCAGGCTGGTCTCCCGACCTCAGGTGATCCGCCCACCTCCGCCTCCTGAAGTGCCGGAATTACAGGCGTGAGCCACCGGCCTAAAAGGCATTTTAATGGGATGAGATGAAAACTCATCGCGATTGTAATTTACATTTCTCTGATGATGAGTGATGCCGAGTACTTTTTCATATACGTGATCGCCATTTCTATGTTTTGTTTGTGGAGAAATGTCTCCTCATGTCTTTTGCTCTTTTTTTGAATTAAATTGTTTTATTGAGTTGTTTGAGCTTCTTATATTTCCAGTTATTAATCCCGTCTCAGATGAATAGTTTGCAAATATTTGCTCCTATTTTGTCGGTTGTCTCTTCACTTTCTTGGTTTATCTTTTGTGGTGCAGAAGTTGCTTGGTTTGATGTAATCCTAATGGTCTATTTTTTGCTTTGATTACTTGTGTTTTGAAGGTTTTAAACAAAATGTCTTTCGTCAGACAAATGTCTTCCCCATTATTTTCTTCTACATGTTTCATAGGTTCAGGCCTTAGACTCATGTTTTTAATCCATTTTCATTTGATTTTTGTGTAAGGTGACAGGTATAGATGCAGTTTTATTCCTCTGCATGTAGATATCCAGTTTTCCCCACACCATTTATTGAAAAGACTGTCCTTTCCTGATTGTAAGTTCTCGGCACCTTTGTCAAAGTCCATTAAATGGGCTGGGTATGGTGGCTCACACCTGCAATTCCAGCACTTTGGGAGGCCGAGGCGGATGGATCACCTGAAGCCAGGAGTTCAAGACCAGGCTGGCCAACAGAGTGAAACCTCGTCTCTACTAAAAATACAAAAATTAGCTGAGCATGGTGACCAGTGCCTGTAATACCACTACTCGGGTGTTTGAGGCAAGAGAATTGCTTGAATCCAGGAAGTGGAGGTTGCATTGAGCTGAGATTGCACCTCTGCACTCCAGCCTGCATGACAGAGCAAGATTCTATCACACACACACACAAAAAAAGCCATTGGATGTAAATGCATGGATTATATCTGTGTTCTCCATTCTGTTCCATTTTTTATGTGCCTTTCTTTATGCCAATGTCATGCTGTTTTGCTTACTACAGCTCTGTAACATATTTCTAAGTCAGGTAGTGTGATGCTCCTGTTTTCTCTTTATACCTTCAAGTCTCAAGACAGTGGGCATCGCACACAAAAATTATGGAGAAGAGGATCCCAAGACTCCCAGGGTCCAACATTAGATAACAGAGTGTTGGCCATGAACCAACCTCAAAGATTTCCATTGAGTAGAGGACAAGCACCCTCATTTCCTCACATCTCTCCTGTCCCGTGTTCTAGGAAACCCTTCAAGTAGTTGGCCTTCACCCACAGAACCAAGCTCCAAATCTGGTGAGTAAAGGACCCCTCTTATCTCTGCTTTTGGAAACCTGGGGAGGTGGAAGCCTTGGATGCAAGTGTTGGCTCAAACCTCCCAGCTCTGTGAATGAGGGCCTGTCTTCCACCATCTCTGAACTCCAGACACTCCAACAGTGAAAGGGATCTAGGGCCACCAAAGGGCTCAGCGAAGTCTCTTAACCTTTAATGTCCTGCAGGTGAGACCTCCTACAAGCTAGAAGAATGATTGCCAATCTGACATCCTTCTCAGGAAACATGCAGTGTTTTTTCTTCCTGCATTCCTAACTGGAGGATAAATTCCTGGGGACTTGAGAGAGGGAAGGGAAGGGAACATCTGATGAGGGCGAGGTGTTTTAGAGAAGTTCCACTTGCCAAGGAATGAATTACTGTTGGTCATGAAGCAACCCTGGCTGACTCAGCAGAGCAAGAGCCTTGCCGTAATAGAGAACAGAGCTCATGCACGCACACTTCGACTCACTGACTCATTCAGCCACAGCCCCATGCTCAGGCTGTGCAGTTGGAATCCTTTCCTATTGTTGCCATAACAAATTTCCACAAGATTCGTGGGTGAAAACAAAGCGGCTTTTTAATTATCTTACAGTGCTGTAGCTCAAAGTATGAAGTGCATCTCACTGGGCTAAAAACAAGGTGACAGCAAGGCTGCCTTCCCTTGCCTGAGGATTCCAGGCAAGAATCTGCTTCTCACTTGTCCCATCTTATAAAGGCTCCCAGTTCCTTGGCTCCTGGTCCCCTTCCTCCTTCCTCAAAGCCCACAAAGGCTGGTCACATCTCACATGGCATCACTCAGACCCTTCTTCCTTACCACACCTCTTTCTCTGAATGCTGCTCTCCCTTCTTCCTTATCTTTTGAAAACTTGGGGATTCTATTGGGTTCACCAAGATGAAAATCCATCATAATCTCCCGGAAATCATTCAGGATACCCTTGTTTTAAGTTCAGCTGACTAGCAACCGTAATTCCATCTGCAATCTTCATTCCTTCTTTCCATGTAAAATAACATATTCACAAGCTATGGAGGCCAGGACAGGGACATTTTGGGGTGGGACAGCATTCTCCTGCCTTCCACGAACGGTGAACAAGATGCATTTGGCCTCTGCTCTTGGGACACTGATATTGCAGATGGTTAAATGGGAGGGCAGAAAATGAATGCACAAGTGGACCAATAAATGAATGATCCATTGGGAAGCATCTGTGTATGAAATCTATTTGTTTGTTCGTTCATTTATTTATTGAGACAGAGTCTCCCTCTGTCTTCCAGGCTACAGTGCAGTGTCACGATCTTGGCTCACTGCAACCTGCGTCTCCTGGATCCAAGTGATTCTCCTGCCTCCGCCTCTCGAGTAGCTGGGATTACAGGCAACTGCCACCATGCCCGGCTAATTCTTTTTGTATATTTTTTGTAGAGAGGATGTTTCACCATATTGGCCAAGCTTGTCTGAAACTCCCAACCTCAAGTGATCCGACCATCTCAGCAACCCAAAGTACTGGGATTACAGGCGTGAGCCACTTTGCCCAGCCAGAATTCAAAATAAATAATAGATAATGCTGAGTGTATAATTTTGGGTGACAGAGAAGGTCTCACTAATCAGATATTTGTGACATTAATGAAAAACACGGATTGAACCCCTGAAAGATTGGCGGAAGGATTTTCCACACAGCTGTCAGCTGTGAAGGCACAAAGGTGAAAACAATCTGATGTTGAAGGAAGAGGCTCTGACTCAAATGCTGGGAATGAAGTGGGGAGAATGACAAGACGACTGTGGAGAGACGGAGAGCACACTGGGTACACAGGAAACTAAGGAGCAACAAGGAGTGTGTGTTTGACACTCACAGCCCTTGGATTCACCTCGGGGTAACCAGGAATCCCTACATGATTAATAGTGACTGACATGAAAATAAGGGAGGCCCAGGTGCGTAACTGGAATCTAGGAGACCGTGGAAAAGGCAATTCCCGCCCCACTGGTGAAATGTGGTGCTGATTTAGACCCTAAGTGGATGAAGCAGATGGATATAAGCTATGCTTGGGAGGTAGAATCATTTGCAGGGAGGGCTTGCTGGGTTTGAGTTTCCTAGTTGTTTAATCCTTGCTAAATTAATTTCTTTCTGAGATTTATTCCTCCTACACATAAATCAATACCTGGCAAAGGAGTGACAGATATATGAGGGGTGGTGGAAATGAAGGGACCTATTATAGCATAGTATACAAGTCTGTGAACGGTGGCTCACTCCTGTAACCCAGCACTGCAGGAGGCTAAGGCCAGTGGATTCCAAGAAGTCAGGAGTTCGAGACCAGCCTGGCCAACATGGTGAAACCCTATCTCTACATGGTGAAACCCTATCTCTCCTAAAAATACAAAAATTAGCCGAGCATGGTGGTGCATCCCTGTAATCCCAGCTCCTGCTCTGGAGGATGAAGCAGGAGAATGACTTCAACCCAGGAGATGGAGGTTGCAGTGAGTGGAGATCGCATCACTGCACTCCAGCCTGGGTGACACAAGGAGACTCCATCTCAAAAAATAAAAATAAGAAATGCATAAATATAATAAAACACACACGAATGACAAAGGCACCTGAATTCCCATCATCATTTTTCTATTTCTCTATAATTACTTCTTTGATCCTTTATCTTATCCATTAGGCAATCAGCCTAAAACCTCTTCCGTATTTGGCTTTCTGTGAGCATGAGATCATATAGAAAATGTGAAAGCCCGCTGAATCCTCCAGCACAAATCCTGGAATAGAGAAAGTGCTCTCGTCATCACAAAAAAAACTTGCCCCCTCACCCAAATCCCCCATCTCACCCCTACTTCCAATCACCTGTGGAGATACAGATAGATCATGGGGAGGTAAATGCTAATACTCCTTGGAGTGAGTCCAGATCTTGGAATCAGAGATCAGCGACAGCACTAGCTCCTGCTCCCCTTTCCTACTAATTCACAGGAGGACAGGTGGTATTGAAGCAATAGATAGTCGAGGGGGTGGTCCTTCCCCCAGCCTCTCAGGTAGAACAGCAGCCTAACATGTGTCTCCCGAGATCACAAAGAGTAGCACATTTCACACGGGCTTCAACACTATTTTCTGGCTGTTTGACATAAGAGAATTCTACTTCGCTTTTTTTATATTGATTTCACTTTTGTTTCCTTTTCTTGGAGAATGCAAGTTGTTTAACTCAAGAATGCCGTGGATGTAGAAATCCTAAAGCACATTCGCTGTGTATCAATCCCAGTCCAGTCTTCCCAGAGAAGACTCTAAACACCTCCTGGACTGCACCTGGGCCTATGCCAATTCCTATCACTCACCGTCACTCCAGGGAGACAGAACACACAGAGAATACGTTACATAGGCAGGTTCATTACTAACAGATAAGCAGCGAGTGACAACAGAAGCCTACATTTCAATGTGAGCCAGTTCCCCAAGGCTCAGAAAAGCTGCTCGAGACATGTGGAGTCACCCCATTTGCAGTGTAGCTGGGGGAAGCCAGAAAGCAGCCCAGCCTGGGTTTTGTACCCTGGAGCCACAGGAAGCACTCAGCTAAAGCACTGCATGACGTCCTCCTCCAGGAAGAACAGGAAGACAGCCCAGGCTGTTCTGGGACGATCCTCCTGATCTCAGGACTTTGCTGTCTTAGTCCATTTTTGTTGCTCTAAAGGAACACTTGAGCCTGGGTAACTTCTAAAGAAGAGATTGGTTTGCCTCACCATTCTGCAGGCTGTACTGGAAGCATGGCACCAGCATCTATTTCTTATGATGGCCTCAGGCCGCTCCCACTCTGGCAGAAGGGAAGGAGGGTCTGTCTGTGCAGAGACCACAGAGATCACACGGCAAGAGAGGGAGCAAGGGGGAGGGGGAGCAATGGAGCTTCCAAGCTCTTTTTAACAACCAGCTCTCCAGGAACTAATAGAGAGGGAACTTGCTAACCCCGTCTCCTTGGGACAGCATTGATCTGTTCATGATGGATCCACCTCCATGACCCAAACACCTCCCAAGAGGCCCAACCTCCCACACTGGGGGTTAAATTTCAATGTGAGGTTTGAAGGGGTCAAACATCTCAACTAAAGTAGTTGTATCCTCAGCACGTTCCATGGTTACTATGAGAGCTATAACTGAGAAAGCAGGAGGAAGCTAGGTCTCCCGCCATCTGGGTGCTTGTCCGAAAGAGATGCTGTAAGTGGTTACCTGTCAATCAAGAAATGCAAGACAATTCATATAGAGAAACTGCTATGATTAGCTTCTTACTGGTGTCTCCTCTTCTTCCAGGTAACCCCAGACACCTGCACATTCTGATTGGGACCTCAGTGGTCATCATCCTCTTCATCCTCCTCCTCTTCTTTCTCCTTCATCTCTGGTGCTCCAACAAAAAAAGTAAGTCTCACGCGGCACAGGCCAGAGAGCTCAGGGCCATGTGGGGAAGCAGGATGGGAGCACACAGCTGTGTGTTCCTCACTGGCAGGATGGTCCCTGGCCCAAGACAGGAGCCACAGAGGCAGGACTTTCTAGAGAGAGCACCAGACTCCCTGCCCCTGCCTTCAGCTCACAGACCGTTGCCTGATTCTGAACTGTATCCTCATGTCCCCTGCAGCCACTCACATCCAGGAGAAGGTTCCATGACAGGCAGAAAGTGGGAGACAGAATCAATGGGATGGGAACTCAGAGCTATTCATGGGATGGGTCCTTGAGCTCAGAGAGATAGAATGTCTGAGTCTGCTGTTGGCAACTGAGGGACCTCAGGCACCTATGGCCTCCCCCTGTTTGTTGGTATCTGCTTATGAAATGAGGACCCAGAAGTGCCCTCCGAGCTCTTTTGTTGACTTCCGTCTCCTACAGATGCTGCTGTAATGGACCAAGAGCCTGCAGGGAACAGAACAGCCAACAGCGAGGTAGGTGCTCCTCGGCCCAGCCTCATGGCTAGTGTTATTCCCAAACAGTCCTGGAAAACGTGAGCACCCTCCCTCACTCAGCATTTCCCTCCCTCACTCAGCATTTCCCTCTCTCCAGGACTCTGATGAACAAGACCCTGAGGAGGTGACATACGCACAGTTGGATCACTGCGTTTTCACACAGAGAAAAATCACTCGCCCTTCTCAGAGGCCCAAGACACCCCCTACAGATACCATCTTGTACACGGAACTTCCAAATGCTAAGCCCAGATCCAAAGTTGTCTCCTGCCCATGAGCACCACAGTCAGGCCTTGAGGGCGTCTTCTAGGGAGACAACAGCCCTGTCTCAAAACCGAGTTGCCAGCTCCCATGTACCAGCAGCTGGAATCTGAAGGCGTGAGTCTTCATCTTAGGGCATCGCTCCTCCTCACGCCACAAATCTGGTGCCTCTCTCTTGCTTACAAATGTCTAGGTCCCCACTGCCTGCTGGAAAGAAAACACACTCCTTTGCTTAGCCCACAGTTCTCCATTTCACTTGACCCCTGCCCACCTCTCCAACCTAACTGGCTTACTTCCTAGTCTACTTGAGGCTGCGATCACACTGAGGAACTCACAATTCCAAACATACAAGAGGCTCCCTCTTGACGTGGCACTTACCCACGTGCTGTTCCACCTTCCCTCATGCTGTTTCACCTTTCTTCGGACTATTTTCCAGCCTTCTGTCAGCAGTGAAACTTATAAAATTTTTTGTGATTTCAATGTAGCTGTCTCCTCTTCAAATAAACATGTCTGCCCTCATTGCTTCAGGTAATGTGACACTGTATTCGCTGAAAGAAACCGCTGTTATCATTACCATGTCCACATAACCCCATCTGTTCTCCGCTGGGTTCTCACCCCTGGACTCTGAGCTTCTGGAAGCAGGGTGGAGCCTCATTTGTCTCTGGGACTCCAATTTCCATCCAAAGATGCAGCACATAGGAGGTTCCAAGGATCGTGAATCACATGAACAAGTGATATTCTTACTCTCTGCAACCTGGAAAGCTGGCAGAGTCATTCCACGATGAAACATTTGTAGAGTCATAAGCCTTGCTAGTCTCATCTCCACGGGGACACATATCAACACATCATATTTCATACTATAAATATACAGTCGCTCCTCCATATCTGTGGGGTTTACAGGTGTTTATTGAACCAAGTGTAAATCAAAAATATTCAGAGAAAATGTCCACAAAGTTTCAAAATGCAAAACTATGTTGAATGGACACAAATGAGGCAGTGTGTAGGCTGTATCAGGAATTATAAGTAATCAAGAGATGATTTCATGTATACAGGAGGATGTGCATGGGTTATATCCAAATGCTGTGTCATTTTATGTAAGAGGCTTGAGCATCTGCAGATTTTGGTACCTGAGTGGAGATCCTGAAACCAATCACCCACGAATAGTAAAGGATGACCGTATATGACTTTTATTTCTCAATTTTAAATATAAATCATAAAAAATGTACAATAACTAGATAAAAAGTAAGAAGTGTTTTTATAGTGTGAGAATAAGTTTAGATTTATTTTTTCCTACGTGTAACCCTTTGGTTTAATATTATTTATTGAGAAGACATTCTATGCCACCTTAAACCACACGGCAGCCTTTGTCAACTCTAAAGGGACTGTGTGTACACGGATGTATTTTAGACACTGTTTCTGCTAAGGGGCTCTCTGTGTCCACACTCTTGAGGATGCTGCACTTCATGTAGCCTTATAAAACCCTTTAAATTTAGTAGCCAGAGCCCTCTAATTTGTTATTATAGGCTACTTGCTATTTTTTTTTCTTGAGGCGGAGTCTTGCTCTGTCGCCCAGGCTGGACTGCAGTGACACAATCTCAGCTCACTGCAACTTCCGCCTCCCAGGTTCAGGCGATTCTCGTGCCTCAGTCTCTTGAGTAGCTGGCGTTTCAGGTGCCTGCCACCAGGCATGGCTAATTTTTGAATTTTTAGCAGAGACGCGGTTTCACTGTGTTGGCCAGGCTGCTCTCAATCTCCTCATCTCAGTTGATCCGCCCACCTCGGCTTCCCGACCTGCTGGGGGAAACTTGATTTTCTATAGCATTATGTTACTGGATATTTCTGTAAAATTTAAAATGAGGGAGGCAGAGAGACAGAGAGAGAGCAAACTCCAAAGTTGGGACTCTGGAATCTTGAGTCATGAGACAAATTATAGATAAAACTACAAAAATCCAGAATTTACATGTGTGGTTTTTGCTGATAAAGTACAATTCTAAGATTGTAAATAATTGCATAATCCTTCCCTGGGAATTTAAATCATTTGAACTGGTTCTGCTGTAATACTAGAAATACAAGCATGAACAATTCTAATGGTTTATTAGTCACAATGACTCTGAAAACACTAATAATACCTATTAGATATTTTGCATATTACACAGGAAGAAGAGTTCGAATCTCAGATAAAAACAATAAAAATTCATGAAAAGTCTTTCATGTTAGCACAGATTTTAGGCATCTCATGTTTGGGAGGTTGGATCTAAGACGTGTTTTGAGTTGGTCATAGTGAAGGACGCGAGGTGTCAATTCTAGTGAGAGCAATTTCCAGGAAGCCATGTTCCGCTCTTGAGCGAGCACCCACTGGGCCTCATGCAAGGTAGAAAAAGCCTGCGTACGTCACCCTCCCATGATGTGGTCAACATGTAAACTGCATGGGCAGGGCGCCAAATAACATCCTGTGCGCTGCTGAGCTGAGCTGGGGCGCGGCCGCCTGTCTGCACCGGCAGCACCATGTCGCTCATGGTCATCATCATGGCGTGTGTTGGTGAGTCCTGGAAGGGAATAGAGGGAGGGAGCGTGGGGATGGAGATCTGGGCCCAGAGGTGGAGATATGGGCCTGGAGGTGGAGTTATGGGCCTGGAGTGGAGATCTGGGCCTGGAGTGGAGATCTGGGCCTAGAGATGGAGTGATGGGCCTAGAAGTGGAGATCTGCGCCTGGAGTGGAGATCTGGGCCTGGAGTGAAGATCTGGGCCTGGAGTGGAGATATGGGCCTGGAGTGGGGATAGGAACCTGGAGTGGAGAGAGGAACCTGGAGGAGAGATAGGAACCTGGAGGGGAGGTAGGAGCCTAGGGTGGAGATATGGGACTGGAGTGGAGATATGGGACTGGAGTGGAGATATGGGCCTGGAGTGGAGTTATGGGCCTGGAGTGAAGTTATGGGCCTGGAGGTGGAGATATGGGCCTGGAGTGGAGATATGAGCCTGGAGTGGAGATATGGTCCTGGAGTGGAGATATGGGCCTGGAGTGGAGATATGGGTCTGCAGTGGAGTTATGGGCCTGGAGTGAAGTTATGGGCCTGGAGGTGGAGATATGGGCCTGGAGTGGAGATATGGGACTAGAGTGGAGATAGGGGCCTGGAGGTGGAGATCTGGGCCTGGAGTGGAGATCTGGGCCTGGAGTGGAGATCTGGGCCTGGAGTGGAGATATGGGCCTGGAGTGGAGATATGGGTCTGCAGTGGAGATATGGGCCTGGAGGTGGAGATATGGGCCTGGAGTGGAGTTATGGGCCTGGAGTGAAGTTATGGGCCTGGAGGTGGAGATATGGGCCTGGAGTGGAGATATGGGACTAGAGTGGAGATAGGGGCCTGGAGGTGGAGATCTGGGCCTGGAGTGGAGATATGGCCCTGGAGTGGAGATATGGGCCTGGAGTGGAGATATGAGCCTGGAGTGGAGATATGGCCCTGGAGTGGAGATATGGGCCTGGAGGTGGAGATATGGGCCTGGAGTGGAGTTATGGGCCTGGAGTGAAGTTATGGGCCTGGAGGTGGAGATATGGGCCTGGAGTGGAGATATGGGACTAGAGTGGAGATACGGGCCTGGAGGTGGAGATCTGGGCCTGGAGTGGAGATATGGCCCTGGAGTGGAGATATGGGCCTGGAGTGGAGATATGAGCCTGGAGTGGAGATATGGCCCTGGAGTGGAGATATGGGCCTGGAGTGGAGATATGAGCCTGGAGTGGAGATATGGCCCTGGAGTGGAGATATGGGCCTGGAGTGGAGATATGGGCCTGGAGTGGAGATATGGGTCTGGAGTGGAGATATGGGCCTGGAGGTGGAGATATGGGCCTGGAGTGGAGATATGGGCCTGGAGGTGGTGATATGGGCCTGGAGTGTAGATATGGGCCGAGTGGAGATATGGTTCTGGAGTGGAGATATGGGCCTGGAGTGGAGATATGGGACTGGAGTGGAGATATAGGCATGGGGTGGAGACATGGGCCGGGAGTGGAGATATGGGACTGGAGTGGAGATACGGGCATGGGGTGGAGATATGTGCCTGGAGGTGGAGATATGGGCGTGGGTTGGAGATATGGGCCTGGAGTGGAGATATGGGCATGGGGTGGAGATATGGGTCTGGAGTGGAGACATGGGCATGGGGTGGAGATATGGGCCTGGTGTGTAGATATGGGCCTGGAGTGGAGATATGGCCCTGGAGTGGAGATATGGGCCTGGAGTGGAGATCTGGGCCTACGGTGAAGATATGGGCCTAGGATGGGGATATGGGCCTGGAATGGAGATATGGGCCTGGGTGTGGAGATATGGGACTGGAGTGGAGATATGGGCCTGATGTGGAGATATGGGCTTGGAGTGGAGATATGATCCTGGAGTGTAGTTATGGGCCTGGAGGTGGAGATCTGGGCCTGGGGTGGAGATATGGGCCTGGAGTGGAGATATGGGACTGGAGAGGAGATATGGGCCTGGAGTGGAGATATGGGCCTGGATTGGAGATATGGGCCTAGGGTGGAGATCTGAGCCTGGATTGGAGATGTGGGCCCGGATTGGCTATATGGGTCTAGGGTGGAAATATCGGCCTGGAGTGGAGATATGGGCCTGGAGTGGAGATATGGGCTTGGGGTGGGGATATGGGCCTGGAGGCTGGGTCTCTGCACAGCCGAGAGCACTGTTCTTGGGTGCAGGTAGGCACTGATGGTGAGTTTCCCTTCGGCCCAGGAAGGGGCTGGCTATCAAGACTCACAGCCCAGTGGGGGCAGCAAGGAAGGCCTTGTTTGCCTGCAAATGGATCTTCCATCATGATCTTTCTTTCCAGGGTTCTTCTTGCTGCAGGGGGCCTGGCCACAGGAGGGTAAGTCCTTCTCCAAACCTTAGGGTGTCATCTCCCCACATAAGAGGATTTTCCTGAAACGGGAGGGAAGTCCTGTCAGGGAGTCTCTTATAAACTAGGAAGAGGGGACCCTGGGGTGCTCGGCCCACAGTTCCGACCTTGCCTCCCTGGCCTCTCAACCCCTTGGCAGAGTCAAGTTGTGTGGGGACCAGGGTTGGACTAGGGTGTTCAAAGCTGGGTTGTGTGGTGGGGAAGTGGTAGGAACAGCAGATCCTCTGAGGACAAAGGTGTTACTCACACACTTCAGCGTTTCCATGATGGTAGGGGCTGCAGTGTGGCTGCTGTCATTCTACCAGAAGAGGTGGGAAACCACAGCCATGGCCCTGACATTCCAAATCCTCTGATGGGGGCTAAGTTTTTTATTTTCATTCAGGCAACTGCTGATATTCCATTCTCAAAGGACATGCCCTCCACTTCATGTCTACCCTGTGTTGTTTTATGTGAGTAATCTTACAGTATTAAAATCTAGTAGGAGTCTCTTACTCAGCACTTGCTCAAAGTTCTCAGCTGACACTTTTGTTGTACGGAGACACCTTGTCTTTGTGGGATGGGTCCTTCCTTTAGCCCTAGGCACCAAGGTGTGATAGCAGCCATAGAAATGTGGAAAGTGGGGAGAATCTTCTGAGCACAGGGAGGGAGGCACAGCTCCACATCCTCCTCTCTAAGGCGGCGCCTCCTTCACCCCAAGGTGGTCAGGACAAGCCCTTGCTTTCTACCTGGCCCAGCCTTGTGGTGCCTCCAGAACATGTGACTCTTCAGTGTCACTCTAATCTTGGGTTTAACAACTTCAGTCTGTACAAGGATGATGGGGTGCCTGTCCCTGAGCTGTACAACAGAATATTCTGGAAAAGCCTTTTCATGGGCCCTGTGACCCCGTCACATGCAGGGACCTATAGATGCCGGGGTTCACACACACACTCCCCCAGTGGGTGGTCGGCACCCAGCAACCCCCTGGTGATTATGGTCACAGGTCAGAGGGCTCCTGTCTGGGATTCTCCTTGTCCCACCTCCTGAATCCCAGAGCTTCTGGTAGGCATGTCCTTGAGGGTCCCATCACGCAGGCCCTAACTGTATTTGGGGTAAAGGGGGATTGAATACAGGGAAATGGGTGCTGTGGTGGGAAGAATAAGTGTCCCCAATGATGACTGCATTCTAATCCCTGGAGTCTGTGACTATTTATGTTATAGGGGAAGGGACTGAAGGGGAAGATGGAGCTCAGGTTGTTGATGAGTTGACCTTGAGATGGGGAGACAGCCTGGACTGTCCCGGTGGGCTCAGTATAATCACAAGGGTCCACATGAAAGGAGGAGGAAGAGGAGAGTGGGGATTAGAGCAGCGTAGTGGGAGACTCCATCAGCTTTGAAGGTGGATGAAGGCCATAAGCCATGAATGCAGGTGGCCTATAGAGGCTGGGAAAGTCAAGTAACTGATTCTCCTGAGTCTCCAGAGGGAACACAGCCCTGCAGATGCCTTGATTTTAGCCCTCGAAAAACAGCGTCCGCTTTCTGTCTCCAGAATCGGAGGGGGTCAGTGTGCTCTCTCCTGCTGCCATGCTTCTGATAATTTTCTACAGCAGCAACAGGAAACCAACACTGGAACCCAGGTCAAGGACAAGTTAAGAAAAGACACAAGGATAGCCAGGCATGGTGGCAGGTGCATGTAATCCTAGCGACTCGGGAGGCTGAGAGCAGGAGAATCGCTTGAACCCAGGAGACAGAGGTTGCAGTGAGCGTAGACCACACCACTTCACTCCAGCCTGGGCGAAGGAGTGAGACTCTGTCTCCAAAATTAATTAATTAATTAAAGAAACCAAACAAAGAGAAGGTTGGCTACACCGAGATCAGCAAGGGTGGGATGATGATGCTACCACCAGGCTCCATCCACATAGGGAGGGGTTGATACTCCTCAAATCAGCACGAGGAGCCAGCCTATGGAAACTGGCACCATGGAGAAGGCACAGACATGGCAAGAGTGGCTCCCAGTCCCCACCAGGAACAGGGTGTGTGGACACTGGTGCCTGCCTTACTGATCAGTTCATACCTCCTGCCAAGGATTCCAATTCGTCCAAAAGAGATTGAACCAGGCTGCTAAGAGCCGGGACGTGCAGCCTATCCTGCTTCCTCTTCCACTCCCACATAGACAGTAAGAAAGACATTAGTGTGAAATAGATACAACAGCCCAAGAGATGAGGCTGAGCCCAGTGGGAAGGGAATCACAGCTACTAGAGACAGAGGGACAGAGAAGAGGGAGGGAGACAGATGGAAGGACCTGCACCAGGAGTTATGGGCACAGAAAAGAACATGAAGACACAGAGAGGAAGCAGAGAGACAGACACCAGCGAAGGGAAGGCTCACTCATTCCAGGTGCCATGGATGGGATGATAAAGAGAGACACCTTCTAAACTCACAACCTCTCTTCCTAGAAGTCCACAGAAAACCTTCCTTCCTGGCCCTCCCAGGTCACCTGGTGAAATCAGAAGAGACAGTCATCCTGCAATGTTGGTCGGATGTCATGTTTGAGCACTTCCTTCTGCACAGAGAGGGGAAGTTTAACAACACTTTGCACCTCATTGGAGAGCACCATGATGGGGTTTCCAAGGCCAACTTCTCCATTGGTCCCATGATGCCTGTCCTTGCAGGAACCTACAGATGCTACGGTTCTGTTACTCACTCCCCCTATCAGTTGTCAGCTCCCAGTGACCCTCTGGACATGGTGATCATAGGTGAGAGTGTCCAGACATTCTTCTCATTGTCATTGGGATGCAGAGTGAATGATCCAGGACTTGGAGACCCAGGTGGTTGTAAGGAAGATGAGCTTGGTATTCTTATGGAGAGAGACTGACTTGGTGAGGTCTGTGCCAACAGAGACAGAGAAACAAGAGACACAAGTACAGACCAGGTGTCATAACAGAGGACAAACACAGGGGCCATACAGGGAGTTAGAAAAGACAGAAAGAGTTAAAGGAGACAGACAGACATGTCCCAGACAGAGGTGTCCTTCCATGCTGACTTTGCTCAGAGACCTGGCACAGGTTAGAAGTTTCATTTCTGTTTTACCTCCACAAAGTGTTCTCTACCAGGAGAACCCAAGGACACCCATATTTCTGACCTGAGTTGGGCCCTGTGGCCTCAGGCCTTGTGGCACCTACAGATGCCATGCTTATTCTGACACCTCTGACTTCCATGCAATGGAGAATAATCGTCCCAAAATATCATGGCCCCAGAACACCAACCCCTGTATGCTGTGTGAACTTGTGGTCTCCAGACTGGATTCTGAGGCTCACATTCCAAATAACCCCACATATCACATATGAGAGGATCACTGAGAAGCACAGAGAGAAATCAGGGACACCAAAAAGCAAAGACATAAACACACAGAGAAAGAGCCAGAGGAAGGAGATTGAGAGACTCACAGACACATAAAGAGAGAGAAGAGGGCAGAGAAGTGGAGAGAATGATGGAAGAGAGCAGAGAAAACCACTAAAATTAGAGTCCTGAGGGCGAGGCACAAGGGCATAGAAAGATGGAGATGTGGGGATGAATTGCAGAGATTCCAAAGAGAACTAGAGAGACCGAGAGGCAGAGCAAGACAGATGATAGATGGATAGATACAGATAGATGATGGATAGATATAGATAGATGATATATAGGTAGATGATAGATAATAGGTTATAGATACATAGATGATGATTGATTGATTCATTAATAGATGATACATAGAGATGATGATGATGAAGGTAGATGGATAGATAATACATAGAGATAGAGAGGAAGACAAAGAGAGAAATAATAGAGAGAGAGAGATGATACATATATATAGATAATAGATGATTGACGGATAGACAATTGATAGATAAATAGATGATATATAGATATAGATGACAGGTAGAGAATTTGTAGATAGGCACCGAATAGATAAATAGATGGATTGATAGATAATAGATAGAAATATGCAGAAAGTTATGAACGGGACACAAACTGAGAAACTCAGAGTTAAAAAAAGTAACATCAAGTCAACCAATCCAAGGAGAGCCAGAGAGAATAAAACAATCCAAAAACGGAAAACATAACTAGAGGTAGGGAAGTGAGGTCAGAGACCTACAGAGACAGAGAAGGTGGAAGGAGGAAATAGACATGAAGAGAGATGGGGTGGAGGGTGAGACAGAGAAAGAGAGCATTAGGCCATAGAGCAGGGGAGTGAGTTCTCAGGTCAGGTGTGAGGGGAGCTGTGACAAGGAAGATCCCCCCTGAGGAAACTGCCCCTTCTCCTTCCAGGTCTATATGAGAAACCTTCTCTCTCAGCCCAGCCGGGCCCCACGGTTCAGGCAGGAGAGAATGTGACCTTGTCCTGCAGCTCCATCTATCCAGGGAAGGGGAGGCCCATGAACGTAGGCTCCCTGCAGTGCGCAGCATCAACGGAACATTCCAGGCCGACTTTCCTCTGGGCCCTGCCACCCACGGAGGGACCTACAGATGCTTCGGCTCTTTCCGTGACGCTCCCTACGAGTGGTCAAACTCGAGTGATCCACTGCTTGTTTCCGTCACAGGTGAGGAAACCCCATATCTGTCCCATGTCCTATGATCCTAGAGCCTTAGCTGAGGAGCTTCCTGCTGATGATGGAGAGAAGCATGGACAGATGCAGAGAGAAGACGCAGCATGCCTGTGAGGGAGGGATCAGGGCGCAGGATGGCACACACAGCACCTCCAAACCCTCCTGCATGGCCTGCATGGAGGCCTCCGATTAGGGCTCCAGGCACCCAGGCAGATGTAGAAAGCGGTCAGGAGAGACCCAGAGCAGGGGAGACTGGGCTCAGTTTGGGGAGATCAGAGGTTCCCTCAGCCCCTCAACCTTACCCATTTCCCAGAAGCCCTTCCTGGCCTCTCACCCACACAGAGATGTCATCACCAGCAACCCCTACATCCTTTTCTTTTTGTTTGAAAAAATATTCATTGAGGTTAAATATACCTATATAGCTTACCACTTTTAACATTTTTTTTTTTTGAGGTGGAGTCTAGCTCTGTCTCCTATGCTGGAATGCAGTGGCACAATCTCAGCTCACTGTAACCTCCGCCTCCTGGGTTCAAGCGATTCTCCTGCCTCAGCCACCTGAGTAGCTGGTACTACAGGCGCCCATCACCACGCCAGGCTACTTTTTGTATTTTTAGTAGAGAGGGGGTTTCACCATGTTGGTCGAGCTGCTCTGGAACTCCTGACCACGTGATCCACCCGCCTCAGGCTCCCAAAGTGCTGGGATTACAGGCATGAGCCACCGCGCCCGGCCACGTTTACCAATTTTAAGTGTAAGGTCTAGTGGTCATAAATACATACATATAAATTTTTTGTTTGTTTGTTTTATCCTCCACCCTTTTCTTCCTGGCCTCTGGTAGCCACCATTCTACTCTCTATCTTCATGAGATCCACCTTTTAGCTCCTGTATATGGGTGAGAAATGGGAATCTTTGTAATGACTTCCAGTTCCATCCATGTGGCTGCAAATATCAGGATGTTATTCTTTCTATGGATGAGTAGTCTCCGCTGTGCGTATGTACTACATTCTCTCTATCCATTCATCCACTGATGGGCAGGTAGGTTGACTCCACATCTTGGCTACTGTGAAGAGTGCTGCACCAATCATACGAGTGCAGATATCACTTCGATACATTGATTTACTTTCCTTTGGATATAAACCCAGTAGTGAAATTGCTGGATACTATGAAAGTTCTCTTTTTAGTTTTTCGTTTGTTGTTTTGTTTTTGTTTTTGAGACAGTTTCCCTCTGTGCCCAGGCTGGAGTACAAGTGATGTGATCTTGGCTCATTGCAACCTCCGCTTCCTGGGTTCAAATGATTTTCCTGCCTCAGCCTCCCTAGTAGCTGGGATTACAGGTGCACGCCACCATGCCGGGATACTTTTTGGTTTTTTTTAGTGTACATGGGGTTTCCCCAGGTTGGCTAGGCTGCTCTCAAACTCATGACCTCAACTGAGGTGCCCGCCTCGGTCTCCCAAAGTGCCGGGATTACAGGCATGATCCACTTCATCCAACCTCTTTTTAGTTCTTTAAAGGACTTCCATACTTTTCTCCGTAATGGCTGTACTAATTTACACTCCTACCAACAGGGTACCAGGGTTCTCCTTTCTCTACCACCTTGCCAGCATTTCTTTTGCCTGTCTTGCAGCTAAAAGCCATTTTATTTTATTTCATTTTATTTTGAGATGGAGTTTCGCTCTTCTCACCCAGGCTGGAGTGCAGTGGTGCGATCTCGGCTCACCGCAACCTCCACCTCCCAGGTTCAAGCGATTCTCCTGCCTCAGCCTCCCGAGTAGCTGGAATTACAGGCACACGCCACCACGCCCGACTAATTTTTGTATTTTTAGTAGAGACAGCGTTTCTCCATGTGGGTCAGACTGGTCTCAAACTCCCGACCTTATGAGATTCGCCCACCTCGGGCTCTCAGAGTTCTAGGATGACAGACGTGAGCCACCTCGCCCGGCCTAAAAGCCATTTTAATGGGGTGAGATGAAAACTCACTTTGATTTTAATTCGCGTTTCTCTGATGATGAGTGATACTGAGCACTTTTTCGTATGTGGGGAAATTTCATGTCTTTTGCTCCTTTTTCAATTAAATCATTTGTTTTATTGAGTTGTTTGAGCTTCTTATACTTCTAGTTATTAATCCCGTCTCAGATGCATAGTTTGCACATATTTGCTCCCAATCTGTGGGTTGTCTCTTCACTTTGTTGGTTTATTTTTAGCGGTGCAGAAGTTGCTTAGTTTGAGGTAATCCCAATGGTCTATTTTTGCTTCGATTACTTGTGTTTTGAAGGTTTAAAACAAAATGTCTTCCTTCAGACAAATGTCCTGGAGCATTTCCCCAATATTTTCTTCTACGTGTTTCACAGGTTCAGGCCTTAGACTCACATCTTTAATCCACTTTCATTTGATTTTTGTGTATGGTGACAGGTAGAGGTGCAGTTTCATTCCTCTGCATGTAGATGTCCAGGTTTCCCTGCACTGTTTATTGAAAAAACTGTCCTTTCCTGATTGTGAGTTCTTGGCACCTTTGTCAAAGTCCATTGGATGGGCTGGGCATGGTGGCTAACACCAGCAACTTCAGCACTTTGGGAGGCCAAGGCTGGTGGATCACCTGAGGACAGGAGTACAAGATTACTCTGGCCGACGTGATGAAACATCGTCTCCACTAAAAATATAAAAATTAGCTGAGCATGGTGGTCAGCACCTGTAATACTACTACTCAGGAGTTTGAGGCAAGAGAATTGATTGAACCCAGGAGGCTGAGGTTGCAGTGAACCGAGATTGCACCTCTGCACTCCAGCCTGGGTGACAGAGCGAGACTCCATCTCAAAAGAAAAAATAAAAAAAATTGGATGTAAATGCATGGATTATATCTGTGTTCTTCATTCTGCTCCGTTGTTCTATGTGCCTTTCTTCATGCCAACATCATGCTGTTTTGCTTACTACAGCTCTGTAACATATTTTGAGATCAGGTAGTGTGATGCTCCTGTTTTCTCTTTATACCTTGAAGTCTCAAGACAGTGGGCGTCACATACAAAAATTATGGAAGAAAGGATCCCTGGACTCCCAGGGCCCAATGTTAGATAACAGAGTGTTGGCCATGAACCAAACTCAAAGATTTCCACTGAGTAGAGGACAGACACCCTCATTTCCTCACCTCTCTCCTGTCTCATGTTCTAGGAAACCCTTCAAATAGTTGGCCTTCACCCACTGAACCAAGCTCCAAAACCGGTGAGTACAGAACCCTCTTATATCCGCTTTTGGAACCCTGGGGAGGTGGAAACCTTGGATTCAGGCGTTGACTCAGCATCTCACAGCTCTGACATTGTACGCCTGTCTTCTACCATCTCCGAACTCCAGATACTCCAACAGCGAAAGGGATCTGGGCCCAACACAGGGCTCAGTGAAATCTCTTCATCTCTCATTTTATGGAGCTGAGACCTCCTACAAGCTAGAAGAATGATTGCCAATCTGACATCCTTCTCAGGAAAAATGCAATGTTTGTTCTGCTTGCATTCCTAACTGGAGGATAAATTCCTGGGGGCTTGAGAGAGGGAAGGGAAGCGAACATCTGATGAGGGCGAGGTGTTTTAGAGAAGTTCCACTTGCCAAGGAATGAGCTCCTGTTGGTCATGAAACAACCCTGGCTGACTCAGCAGAGCAAGAGCCTTGCCGTAACAGAGAACAGAGCTCATGCACGCACACTTTGACTCACTGACTTATTCAGCCACGGCCCCATGCTCAGGTTGTGCAGTGTGGAAGCTTTTCCTATTGTTGCCATAACAAATTTCCACAAGATTCGTGGGTGAAAACAAAACGGTTATTTAATTATCTTACAGTGCTCTAGCTCAAAGCATGAAGTGCATCTCACTGGGCTAAAATCAAGATGACAGCAAGCCTGCCTTCCCTCTGAGGATTCCAGGCAAGAATCTGCTTCTCACTTGTCCCATCTTATAAAGGCTCCCAGTTCCTTGGCTGCTGGTCCCCTTCCTCCTTCCTCAAAACCCACAAAGACTGGTCACATCTCACATGGCATCACTCAGACCCTTCTTCCTTACCACACCTCTTTCTCTGAATGCTGCTCTCCCTTCTTCCTCATCTTTTGAAAACTTGGGGATTCTATTGGGTTCACCAAGATGAAAATCCGTCATAATCTCCCGGAAATCATTCAGGATACCCTTGTTTTAAGTTCAGCTGATTAGCAACCATAATTCCATCTGCAATCTTCATTCCTCCTTTCCATGTAAAATAACATATTCACAAGCTATGGAGGCTAGGACAGGGACATTTTGGGGTGGGACAGCATTCTCCTGCCTTCCACAAATGGTGAACAAGATGCATTTGGCCTCTGCTCTTGGGACACTGATATTGCAGATGGTTAAATGGGAGGACAGAAAATGAATGCACAAGTGGACCAATAAATGAATGATCCATTGGGAAGCATCTGTGCATGAAATCTATTTGTTTGTTTGTTCGTTTGTTTATTGAGACAGAGTCTCCCTCTGTCTTCCAGGCTACAGTGCAGTGTCACGATCTTGGCTCACTGCAACCTGCGTCTCCTGGATCCAAGTGATTCTCCTGCCTCACCCTCTCGAGTAGCTGGGATTACAGGCAACTGCCACCATGCCCGGCTAATTCTTTTTGTATATTTTTTGTAGAGAGGATGTTTCACCATGTTGGCCAAGCTTGTCTGAAACTCCCAACCTCAAGTGATCCAACCATCTCAGCATCCCAAAGTACTGGGATAAAAGACGTGAGCCACTGTGCCCAGCCAGAATTCAAAATCAATAATAGATAATGCTGAGTGTATAATTTTGGGTGACAGAGAAGGTCTCACTAATCAGATATTTGTGACATTAATGAAAAACACGGATTGAACCCCTGAAAGATTGGCGGAAGGATTTTCCACACACAGCTGTCAGCCGTGAAGGCAGAAAGCTGAAAACAATCTGATGTGGAAGGAAGAGGCTCTGCCTGAAATGCTGGGAATGAGATGGGGAGAATGACAAGACAACTGTAGAGAGACGGAGAGCACACTGGGTACACAGGAAACTAAGGAGCAACAAGGAGTGTGTGTTTGACACTCACAGCCGTTGGATTCACCTCGAGGTAACCAGGAATCCCTACATGATTAATAGTGACTGACATGAAAATAAGGGAGGCCCAGGTGCGTAACTGGAATCTAGGAGACTGTGGAAAAGGCAATTGCCACCCCACTGGTGAAATGTGGTGCTGATTTTGACACTAAGTGGATGAAGCAGATGGATATAAGCTATGTTTGTGAGGTAGAATCATTGGCTGGAAAGGCTTGCTGGGTTTGATTTTCCTACTTGTTTAATCCTCGCTTAATTAATTTCTTTCTGAGATTTATTCATCCTACACATAAATCAATACCTGGCAAAGGAGTGACAGATATATGAGGGGTGGTGGAAATGAAGGGACCTATTATAGCATAATATACAAGTCTGTGAACGGTGGCTCACGCCTGTAACCCAGCACTGCAGGAGGCCAAGGCGGGTGGATTCCATGAAGTCAGGAGTTCCAGACCAGCCTGGCCAACATGGTGAAACCCTGTCTCTACTAAAAATACAAAAATTAGCCGAGCATGGTGGTGCATCCCTGTAATCCCAGCTCCTACTCTGGAGGATGAAGCAGGAGAATGACTTCAACCCAGGAGGTGGAGGTTGCAGTGAGTGGAGATTGCATCACTGCACTCCAGCCTGGGTGACACAAGGAGACTCCGTCTCAAAAAATAAAAATAAGAAATGCATAAATATAATAAAACACACACGAATGACAAAGGCACCTGAATTCCAATCATCATTTTTCTATTTCTCTATAATTACTTCTTTGATCCTTTATCTTATCCATTAGGCAATGAGCCTAAAACCTCTTCCCTATTTGGCTTTCTGTGAGCATGAGATCACATAGAAAATGTGAAAGCCCGCTGAATCCTCCAGCACGGATCCTGGAATAGAGAAAGTGCTCTGGTCATCGCAAAAAAAAACTTGCCCACTCACCCAAATCCCCCACCTCACCCCTACTTCCAATCACCTGTGGAGATTCAGATAGACCATGGGGAGGAAACATTAATACTCCTTGGAGTGAGTCCAGATCTTGGAATCAGAGATCAGCGACAGCACTAGCTCCTGTTCCCCTTTCCTACTAATTCACAGGAGGACAGGTGGTATTGAAGCAATAGATGGTGGAGGGGGTGGTCCTTCCCCCAGCCTCTCGGGTAGAACAGCAGCCTAACATGTGTCTCCCGAGATCACAAAGAGCAGCACATTTCACACGGGCTTCAACACTATTTTCTGGCTGTTTGACATAAGAGAATCTTGCTTCGCTATTTTTAATCGTGATTTCACCTTTGTTTCCTTTCCTTGGTGAATGCAATTTGTTTGACTCAAGAATGCTGTGGATGTAGAAATCCTAAAGCACATTCGCTGTGTATCAATCCCAGTGCAGTCTTCCCAGAGAAGACTCTAAACAAATCCTGGACTGCACCTGGGCCTATGCCAATTCCTATCACTCACCGTCACTCCAGGGAGACAGAACACACAGAGAATACGTTACATAGGCAGGTTCATTACTAACAGATAAGCAGTGAGTGACAACAGAAGCCTGCATTTCAATGTGAGCCAGTCCCTCAAGGCTCAGAAAAGCTGCTCGGGACATATGGAGTCACCCCATTTGCAGTGTAACTGGGGGAAGCCAGAAAGCAGCCCAGCCTGGGTTTTGTACCCTGGAGCCACAGGAAGCACTCAGCTAAAGCACTGCATGACGTCCTCCTCCAGGAAGAACAGGAAGACAGCCCAGGCTGTTCTGAGACATTCCTCCTGATCTCAGGATGTTGCTATCTTAGTCCATTTTTGTTGCTCTAAAGGAACACTTGAGCCTGGGTAACTTCTAAAGAAAAGAGATTGGTTTGCCTCACAGTTCTGCAGGCTGTACTGGAAGCATGGCACCAGAATCTATTTCTCGTGATGGCCTCAGGCTGCTCCCACTCTGGCAGAAGGGAAGGAGGGTCTGTCTGTGCAGAGACCGCAGAGATCACACGGCAAGAGAGAGAGTAAGGGGGAGAGGGAGCGATGGAGCTTCCAAGCTCTTTTTAACAACCAGCTCTCCAGGAACTAACAGAGGGGGAACTTGCTAACCCCGTCTCCTTGGGACAGCATTGGTCTGTTCATGATGGATCCACCTCCATGACCCAAACACCTCTGAAGAGGCCCAACCTCCCACAATGGGGGTGAAATTTCAATGTGAGGTTTGAAAGGGTCAAACATCTCAACTAAAGTAGTTGTATCCTCAGCACGTTCTATGGTTACTATGAGAGCTATAATTGAGAAAGCAGGGGAAAGCTAGGTCTCCCGCCATTTGGGTGCTTGTCCTAAAGAGACGTTGTATGTGGTTACCTGCCAATCAAGAAATGCGAGACAATTCATAAAGAGGAACTGCTATGATTAGCTTCTTATTGGTGTCTCCTCTTCTTCCAGGTAACCCCAGACACCTACATGTTCTGATTGGGACCTCAGTGGTCAAAATCCCTTTCACCATCCTCCTCTTCTTTCTCCTTCATCGCTGGTGCTCCGACAAAAAAAGTAAGTCTCACGAAGCAGAGGCCAGAGAGCTCAGGGCCATGTGGGGAAGCAGGATGGGAGCACGCGGATGTGTGTTCCTCACCAGCAGGATGGTCCCTGGCCCAAGACAGGAGCCACAGAGGCAGGACTTTCTAGAGAGAGCACCAGATTCCCTTCCCCTGCCTTCAGCTCACAGACCATTGCCTGATTCTGAACTGTATCCTCACGTCCCCTGCAGCCACTCACATCCAGGAGAAGGTTCCATGACAGGCAGAAAGTGGGAGATAGAATCAATGGGATGGGACCTCAGAGCTATTCATGGGATGGGTCCTTGAACTCAGAGAGATAGAATGTCTGAGTCTGCTGTTGGCAACTGAGGGACCTCAGGCACCTATGGCCTCCCCCTGTTTGTTGGTATCTGCTTATGAAATGAGGACCCAGAAGTGCCCTCCGAGCTCTTTTGTTGACTTCCGTCTTCTACAGATGCTGCTGTAATGGACCAAGAGCCTGCAGGGAACAGAACAGTGAACAGCGAGGTAGGTGCTCCTCGGCCCAGCCTCGTGGCTAGTCTTATTCCCAAAGAGTCCTGAAAAATGTGAGCACCCTCCCTCACTCAGCATTTCCCTCTCTCCAGGATTCTGATGAACAAGACCATCAGGAGGTGTCATACGCATAATTGGATCACTGTGTTTTCACACAGAGAAAAATCACTCGCCCTTCTGAGAGGCCCAAGACACCCCCAACAGATACCAGCATGTACATAGAACTTCCAAATGCTGAGCCCAGATCCAAAGTTGTCTTCTGTCCACGAGCACCACAGTCAGGCCTTGAGGGGATCTTCTAGGGAGACAACAGCCCTGTCTCAAAACCGGGTTGCCAGCTCCCATGTACCAGCAGCTGGAATCTGAAGGCATCAGTCTTCATCTTAGGGCATCGCTCTTCCTCACACCACGAATCTGAACATGCCTCTCTCTTGCTTACAAATGTCTAAGGTCCCCACTGCCTGCTGGAGAGAAAACACACTCCTTTGCTTAGCCCACAATTCTCCATTTCACTTGACCCCTGCCCACCTCTCCAACCTAACTGGCTTACTTCCTAGTCTACCTGAGGCTGCAATCACACTGAGGAACTCACAATTCCAAACATACAAGAGGCTGCCTCTTAACACAGCACTTAGACACGTGCTGTTCCACCTCCCTTCAGACTATCTTTCAGCCTTCTGCCAGCAGTAAAACTTATAAATTTTTTAAATAATTTCAATGTAGTTTTCCCGCCTTCAAATAAACATGTCTGCCCTCATGGTTTCGGTAACGAGACTCTTTTCTTGCCTAAGGCTTCCGGTGTTATCATTACCGTGTCCACATAACCCCATCTGTTCTCCATTGGGTTCTCAGCCCTGGACTCTGAGCTTCTGGAAGCAGAATGGAGCCTGATTTGTCTCTGAGACTCCAATTTCCATCCAAAGATACAGCACATAGGAGGCTCCAAGGATCGTGAATCACATGAACAAGTGATATTCTTACTCTCTGCAGACCTGGAAAGCTGGCAGAGTCATTCCACGATGAAACATTTGTAGAGTCATAGGCCTTGTTAGCCTCATCTCCACGGGGACACATATCAACATATCATCTTTCATAATATAAATATACAGTCGGTCCTCCATATCTGTGGGGTTTACAGGTGTTTATTGAACCAACAATAAATCAAAAATATTTTCAGAAAAAAATCCCCGAAGTTTCAAGAAGCAAAAAACTATGTTGAATCGACACAAATTGAGTGGCGTGTAGGCTGTGTCAGGAATTATAAGTAATCAAGAGATGATTTCATGTATACAGGAGGATGTGCATGGGTTCTATGCAATTACTATGCTATTTTTTTTTTTTGAGACAGTCTCACTCTCTCACCCAGGCTGGAGTGCAGTGGCATGATCTCAGCTCACTGCAACCTCCGCCTCCCAGGTTCAAGCGATTGTCTTCCCTCAGCCTCCCCAGTAGCCTCCCCTAGGATTACAGGCACGTGCCACCATGCACAGATAAATTTTTTTGTGTGTGTATTTTTAGTAGAGATGGGGTTTCAGAATGTTGGACCAGCTGGTCTTGAACTCCTGACCTCGTGATCTACCCAACTCAGCCTCCCAAAGTGCTGGGATTACAGGCGTGAGCCACGGTGCCCAGCTTCGCTATGCCATTTCATGCAAGGGGCTTGAGCATCTGCAGATTTTGGTATCTGAATGGGGATCCTGGAACCAATCACCCAGGAATAGTGAAGGACCACAGTATATAATTTTTATTTGTCAATCTTAAAAATAAAGCATAAAAAGTTTACAACAACAAGATAAAAAATAAGAAGTGTTTTTATAGTGTGAGGATAAGTTTAGATTTATTTTTTCCTACGTGTAACCCTATGGTCCTGTGTTATTTATTGAGAAAATATTCTATTCCACCTTAAACTACATGGCAGCCTTTGTCAACTATAAAGGGACTGTGTATCCACAGATGTATTTTAGACACAGTTTTCTGCCCAGTGGTTCTCTGTATCCCCTCTCATGAGGATGCTGCATTTCATATAAACTTATAGAACCCCTTAAAATTTGGTAACCTGAGTTCTCTGATTTGTTATTATAGGTTATTTAGTTTGCTTTTTTTTTTCTTTCTTGAGACAGACTCTTCCTCGGTCACCCAAGCTGGAGTTCAGTGGCTTGAGCTCAGCTCACTGCAGCCTCCGCCTCCCAGGTTCAAGCAATTCTCGTGCCTCAGGTTTAGTACTAGAAACTCATCAGGAAAATTAGAATGGCTTTTTGTCACAATTACTCTGATAATGTTAATAATACCTCTTAGATATTTTGCACATTACACATGAAGAAAAGTTTGAATCTCAGATAAAAACAAAAATACATCAAAAGTCTTTAATGTAAGCACAGAATTCAATCACCTCATGTGTGAGAGGTTGGATCTGAGACGTCTTTTGAGTCTGGTCATAGTGAAGGATGCAAGGTGGCAATTGTAGTCACAACAATTTCCAGGAAGCCATGTTCCGCTCTTGAGCGAGCACCCACTGGGCCTCATGCAAGGTAGAAAGAGCCTGCGTACGTCACCCTCCCATGATGTGGTCAACATGTAAACTGCATGGGCAGGGCGCCAAATAACATCCTGTGCGCTGCTGAGCTGAGCTGGGGCGCGGCCTCCTGTCTGCACCGGCAGCACCATGTCGCTCACTGTCGTCAGCATGGCGTGCGTTGGTGAGTCCTGGAAGGGAATAGAGGGAGGGAGAGTGGGGATGGAGATCTCGGCCTAGAGGTAAAGATATGGGCCTGGAGTGGAGATATGGGCCTGGAGTGGAGATATGGGCCTGGGTGTGGAGATATGGGCCTGGAGGTGTAAATATGGGCCTGGAGTGGAGATATGGGCCTGGAGGGGAGATATGGGCCTGGGTGTGGAGATATGGGCCTGGAGTGGAGATACGGGCCTGGAGTGGAGATATGGGCCTGGGGTGGAGATATGGGCCTGCAGGTGGAGATCTGGGCCTGGAGTGGAGATATGGGCCTGGAGTGGAGATATGGGTCTGATGTGGAGATATGGGCCTGGAGTGGAGATATGGGCCTGGAGTGGAGATATGGGCCTAGAGGGGAGATCTGGGCCTGGAGTGGAGATATGGGTCTGATGTGGAGATATGGGCCTGGAGTGGAGATATGGGTCTGATGTGGAGATATGGGCCTGGAGTGGAGATAGGGGCCTGGAGTGGAGATATGGGCCTGGAGTGGAGATCTGGGCCAGGAAGTGTTGATCTGGGCCTGGAGCCTGGGTCTCTCCACAGCTGAGAGCCCTGTTCTTGGCAGCAGGTAGCAGGGAGGCTAAGTTTACCTTCAGCCCAGCAAGGGCCTGGCTGCCAAGACACACAGTGCAGTGGGGGCAGCAGGGTGCCCTGGTTTGCCTGCAGTTGGATCGTCTATCATGATCTTTCTTTCCAGGGTTCTTCTTGCTGCAGGGGGCCTGGCCACTCATGGGTGAGTCCTTCCCCAAACCTTAGGGTGTCATCTCCCCACATAAGAGGATTTTTCTGAAACAGGAGGGAAGTCCTGTCGGGGAGTCTCTCATAAACTAGGAAGAGGGGACCCTTGGATACTCGGCCCACATTTCTGACCTCGCCCTCCCCGGCCTTTCTTTCCCTTTCCTGAGTCAAGCTCTGTGAAGACTGGGGTGAGACTGGGGTGCTCCAAGCTGGGGTGTGCAGGGAGGAAGTGGTGTCAGCAGCAGAGAAAGAGAGGGATGCAGTGCTAGGAACAGCAGGTCCTCTGAGGACAAAGGTATAACTGACACCCTCCAGCGTTTCCGTGACGGTAGGGACTGCAGTGTGGCTGCGGTCTTTCTACCAGAAGAGGGGGGAAACCACAGCCATGGCCCTGACATTCCAAATCCTCTGAGGGGGCTCAGTTCATGAATTGGCTGATATTCCATTCACATAGGACATGCCCTCCATGCCGTGTCTACTTTGTGTTGTTTTATGTGAGTAATTTTGCAGTATTAAAATCTAGTAAGAGTCACTTATTCAGCACTTGCTCAAAGTTCTCAGCTGACACTTGTTGTAGGGAGACGCCATGTCTATGTGGGGTGGGTCCTTCCTGTAGCCCTGGGCACCCAGGTGTGGTAGGAGCCTTAGAAAGTGGAAATGGGAGAATCTTCTGAGCACAGGGAGGGAGGGGCGGCTCCACATCCTCCTCTCTAAGGCAGTGCCTCCTTCTCCCCCAGGTGGTCAGGACAAACCCTTCCTGTCTGCCCGGCCCAGCACTGTGGTGCCTCGAGGAGGACACGTGGCTCTTCAGTGTCACTATCGTCGTGGGTTTAACAATTTCATGCTGTACAAAGAAGACAGAAGCCACGTTCCCATCTTCCACGGCAGAATATTCCAGGAGAGCTTCATCATGGGCCCTGTGACCCCAGCACATGCAGGGACCTACAGATGTCGGGGTTCACGCCCACACTCCCTCACTGGGTGGTCGGCACCCAGCAACCCCCTGGTGATCATGGTCACAGGTCAGAGGCTTTCTGTCTGGGCTTCTCACTGTCCCACCTCCTGAATCCCAGAGCTTCTGGTGGGGGTGTCCATCAGGGTCCCATCACCCAGGCCCCAACTGTATTTGGGGTCAAGGGGGATTGAATACAGGGGAAATGGGCGCTGTGGTGGGAAGAATCACTGTCGCCAATGATGGCTACATTGTAAACCCTGGAGCCTGTGACTATTTATGTTATAGGGCAGGGGACTGAAGGGGAAGGTGGAGCTCAGGTTGTTGATGAGTTGACCTTGAGATGGGGAGACAGCCTGGACTGTCCTGCTGGGCTCAGTGTAATCACAAGGGTCCGCGTGAGAGGTGGAGGAAGAGGGGAGTGGGGATTAGAGCAGTGTAGTGGGAGGGAGACGCTATCAGCCACTGTGGGCTTTGAAGGTGGAGGAAGGCCACTAGTCACAGAATGCAGGTGGCCTCTAAGGGCTGGAGAAGTCAAGAGAACTGATTCGCTGAGTCTCCAGAGGGAACGCAGCCCTGCAGATGCCTTGATTTCAGCACAGGGAGAACTGGATCCAATTTCTGTCCCCAGAAGTGGAAGGGGTCAGTGTGTTCTCTCCTGCTGCCATGTTTGTGATAATTTTCTGCAGCAGCAACAGGAAACCGACACAGGAACCCAGGTCAAGGACAAGCTAGGAAACCAAACAAGGATAGCCAGGTGTGGTGGTGGGCACGAGTAATCCAACGACTGGGGAGGCTGAGGCAAGAGAATCACTTGAACCGGGGAGGCAGAGGTTGCAGTGAGCCAAGACAACACCACTGCACTCCAGCCTGGGTGAAAAAGTGACTGTCTCAAAAATAAATTAATTAATCAATTAATTAAAGAAACCAAACAAGGAGAAGGTTGGCTACCGTGGGATCAGCAAGGGTGGGATGCTGATGCCACCACCAGGCTCCATCCACATAGGAAGGGGTTGATGCTCCTGGAACCAGCACCAGGGACCACCCTATGGAAGCTGGGGCCATGGAGAAGGCACAGACATGGCAGGAGAGGCTCCCAATCCCCATCAGGAACAGGGTGTGTGGACACTGATGTCTGCCTTACTGATGAGTTGATACCTCTGCCAGAGACTCCAATTTGTTCAAAAGAGATTGATTCAGGCTGCTGAGAGCCTGGACATGCAGCCTGTCCTCTTCCACCCCCACATAGACAGCAGGAAAGAGACTAGTGGGAAAGAGATACAACAGCCCAAGAGATGAGGCTCTCTTCACAGTGGGAAGGGAGTCAGGGGCTACTGGAGACAGAGGGACAGAGAAGAGGGAGGAAGACAAATGGAGGGACCTGCACCAGGGGATATGGGCACAGAAAAGACACGGAGACACAGAGAGGGAGGAGAGAGACAGACCTCTGGGAGGGGAACCCTCACTCATTCCAGGTGCCATGGATGGGATGATAAAGAGAGATGCCTTCTAAACTCACAACTTCTCTTTCTAGGAAACCACAGAAAACCTTCCCTCCTGGCCCACCCAGGGCCCCTGCTGAAATCAGGAGAGACAGTCATCCTGCAATGTTGGTCAGATGTCATGTTTGAGCACTTCTTTCTGCACAGAGAGGGGATCTCTGAGGACCCCTCACGCCTCGTTGGACAGATCCATGATGGGGTCTCCAAGGCCAACTTCTCCATCGGTCCCTTGATGCCTGTCCTTGCAGGAACCTACAGATGTTATGGTTCTGTTCCTCACTCCCCCTATCAGTTGTCAGCTCCCAGTGACCCCCTGGACATCGTGATCACAGGTGAGAGTGTCCAGACATTCTTCTCATTGTCATTGGGACACAGAGTGAATGATCCAGGACTTGGAACCCCCAGGTGGTCATGAGGAAGATAAGCGTGGGATTCTTATGGAGAGAGACTGACTCGGTGAGGTCTGTACCAACAGAGACAGGGAAACAGGAGACATAAGTACAGACCAGGTGTCATAACAGAGGACAGACACAGGGGCCATACGGGGAAGTAGAAAAGAGAGAAAGAGGTAAAGGAGACACTCAGACAGACAGACATGTGCCAGAGAGAAGTGTCCTTCCATGCTGACTTTGCTCAGAGACCTGGCACAGGTTAGAAGTTTCATTTCTGTTTTGTCTCCACAAAGTGCTTCTACGAGGAGAACCCAAGGACACCCATATTTCTGACCTGAGTTGGGCCCTGTGGCCTCAGGCCTTGTGGCATCTACAGATGCCATGTTTATTCTGACACCTCTGCCTTCCATGCAGTGGAGCCATAATTATCCCAGGATATCATGGCCCCAGAACACCAACCCCTAAATACTGTGTGTACTTGGTGTCCCCAGACTAGATTCTGAGGCTCATATTCCAAATAATCCTACATATAATAGGATCACTGAGAGACACAGAGATAAATCAGGGACTTCAAAAAGCAAAGGCATAAACACACAGAGAATGAGCCAGAGGAAGGGGATTGAGAGACTCACAGACACACAAAAAGAAAGAAAAGAGGGCAGAGGAGTGGAGAGAATGCTGGAAGGGAGGAGAGAAAAGCCCCAAAATCAGAACCCTGAGGGAGGGGCACAAAGACAGAGAAAGATAAAGATGTGGGGATGGATTGCAGAGATTCCAAATAGAACTAGAGAGACTGAGAGGCAGAGAAAGACAAGGAGATGGAGAGAGACAGATGATAGATGGATAGATAGATATAGATAGATGATAAATAGGTAGATGATAGATAATGGATAGGTTATAGATACATAGATGATGATTGATAGATGATACATAGAGATGATGATGATGATGATGATGAAGATAGATAGATAGAAGACACATATATAAATATATAGATACATAGATGATACATAGAGACTGACAGGCAGACAGAGAGGTAATAGAGAGAGAGAGAGATGATACATAGATACAGATAATACATAGATGATTGATGGATAGACAGATAGACAATTGATAGATAAATGATACATAGATATAGATGACAGATAATTTGTAGATAGACACAAAATAGATAGATAGATAATAGATAGAAATATGCAGAAAGTTATGAACAAGACAGAAAGTGAGAGACTCAGAATTATAGAAAAAGGAAGATCAAGTCAACCAATCCAAGGAGAGTCAGAGAGAATAAAACAATCCAAAAAGGGAAAGCATACCCAGGGGTGGGGAAGTGAGGTCAGAGACCTAGAGAGACAGAGAAGGCGGAAGGAGGAAATAGACATGAAGAGAGTTGGGGTGGAGGGTGAGAGAGAGAGAGAGCATTAGGTCATAGAGCAGGGGAGTGAGTTCTCAGCTCAGGTATGAGGGGAGCTGTGACAAGGAAGAACCTCCCTGAGGAAACTGCCTCTTCTCCTTCCAGGTCTATATGAGAAACCTTCTCTCTCAGCCCAGCCGGGCCCCACGGTTCAGGCAGGAGAGAACGTGACCTTGTCCTGTAGCTCCTGGAGCTCCTATGACATCTACCATCTGTCCAGGGAAGGGGAGGCCCATGAACGTAGGCTCCGTGCAGTGCCCAAGGTCAACAGAACATTCCAGGCAGACTTTCCTCTGGGCCCTGCCACCCACGGAGGGACCTACAGATGCTTCGGCTCTTTCCGTGCCCTGCCCTGCGTGTGGTCAAACTCAAGTGACCCACTGCTTGTTTCTGTCACAGGTGAGGAAAACCCGTGTCTGTCCCATGTCTTATGATCCTAGAGCCATAGCTGAGGAGCTTCCTGCCGATGATGGGGAGAAGCATGGACAGATGCAGAGAGAACACGAAGACTGGGTGTGAGGGGGGGGTCAGGGTGCAGGATGGCAGACAGGGCACCTCCAAACCCTCTTGCATGGCCTGCATGGAGGCCCATGGTCAGGGCTCCAGGCACCCAGGCAGATGGAGAAAGCGGTCAGGACAGACCCAGAGAAGGGGAGACTGGGCTCAGTTTGGGGAGATCAGAGGTTCCCTCAGCCCCTCAACCTTACCCATTTCCCAGAAGCCCATCCTGGCCTCTCACCCACACAGAGAGATGTCATCACCAGCAACCCCTACACTCTTTTCTTTTCATTTTCAAAAATATTTATTGAGGTTAAATGTAACTATATAATTTACCAACTTTACCATTTTTAAAAGTAAAATCTAGTGGTCATAAATACCTTTATATGCTGGGTGTGGTGGTTCACGGTTGTAATCTTGGCGCTTTGAGAGGCCAAGAAAGGTGGATCATTTAAGATCAGGGACTCGAGATCAGCCTGGCCAACATGCGGGAAATTCATCTTTACTAAACAGACAAGAAAAATTAGCCAAGCATGCCGGCATGCACCTGTAGTCCTAGCTACTTGGGAGGCTGAGGCAGGAGAAGCACTTAAAGCCAGGAGGCAGAGGTTGCACTGAGCCGAGATCATGCCACTGCACTGCAGCCTGGGAGACAGAGAGAGACTCTGTTTCTAAATAAATAAATACATCTATATTCTTTTTTTTGTTACCCTCCACCCTTCCCTTCCTGGCCTCTGGTATCCACCATTCTATTCTCTACCTTCATGAGATCCACCTTTTATCTCCTGCATGTGGTGAGAAATGGGAATCTTTGTAATGACCTCCAGTTCCATCCATGTGGCTGCAAATGACAGGATGTTATTGTTTCTATGGATGAGTAGTCTCCACCGTGTGTGTGTACTACAGTTCTCTATCCATTCACCCACTGATAGGCAGGTAGGTTGACTCCACATCTTGGCTACTGTGAACAGTGCTGGAACAGTCATATGAGTGCAGATATCACTTCGATACACTGATGTCCTTTCCTTTGGATATAAACCCAGTAGTGAAATTGCTGGACACTATGAAAGTTCTCTTTTTTTTTTTTCTTTTTTGAGAAAGAGTTTCCCTCCTTAGTCCAAGCTGGAGTCAAAGTGGTGCGATCTTGGCTCATTGCAACCTCTGCTTCCTAGGTTCAAACGATTCTCCTGACTCAGCCTCCCTAATAGCTGTGATTACAGGTGCACGCCACCATGCCTGACTAATTCTTGTATTTTTTAGCACAGACGGGATATCCCAATTTTGGGCAGGCTGCTCTCAAACTCCTGACCTCAAGTGAGGTGCCTGCCTCGGTTTCCCAAAGTGCTGAAGTTACAGGCATAAGCCACTATGCCCAGCCTCCTTTTAGTTTTTTAAAGTTTTTCCATACTTTTCTCCATAATAGTTGTACTAATTTACATTCCTACCAACAGGGTACCAGGGTTCTCCTTTCTCTACCATCTTGCCAGCATTTGTTTTGCCTGTCTTGCAGATAAAAGCCATTTTACTTTATTTATTTATTTATTTATTTATGTTGAGATGGAGTTTCACTCATAGTCGCCCAGGCTGGAGTGCAAGGGTGTGATCTCGGCTCACTGCAACCTCTGCCTCCCGCGTTCAACTGATTCTCCTGCCTCAGCCTCCAAAGTAGCTGGGATTACAGGCATGTGCCACCACGCCTAGCTAATTTTTGTATGTTTAGTAGAGAGGGAGTTTCTCCATGTTGGTCAGGCTGGTCTCCCGACCTCAGGTGATCCGCCCACCTCCGCCTCCCAAAGTGCTGGAATTACAGGCGTGAGCCACCGGCCTAAAAGGCATTTTAATGGGATGAGATGAAAACTCATCGCGATTGTAATTTACATTTCTGTGATGATGAGTGATGCTGAGCACTTTTTCATATACGTGATCGCCATTTCTATGTTTTGTTTGTGGAGAAATGTCTCCTCATGTCTTTTGCTCGTTTTTTAATTAAATTGTTTTATTGAGTTGTTTGAGCTTCTTATATTTCCAGTTATTAATCCCATCTCAGATGAATAGTTTGCAAATATTTGCTCCTATTTTGTGGGTTGTCTCTTCACTTTGTTGGTTTATCTTTGGTGGTGCAGAAGTTGCTTGGTTTGATGTAATCCTAATGGTCTATTTTTTGCTTTGATTACTTGTGTTTTGAAGGTTTTAAACAAAATGTCTTTCGTCAGACAAATGTCTTCCCCATTATTTTCTTCTACATGTTTCATAGGTTCAGGCCTTAGACTCATGTTTTTAATCCATTTTCATTTGATTTTTGTGTAAGGTGACAGGTATAGATGCAGTTTTATTCCTCTGCATGTAGATATCCAGTTTTCCCCACACCATTTATTGAAGACTGTCCTTTCTTGATTGTAAGTTCTCGGCACCTTTGTCAAAGTCCATTAAATGGGCTGGGCATGGTGGCTCACACCTGCAATTCCAGCACTTTGGGAGGCCGAGGCGGGTGGATCACCTAAAGCCAGGAGTTCAAGACCAGGCTGGCCAACAGAGTGAAACCTCGTCTCTACTAAAAATACAAAAATTAGCTGAGCATGGTGATCAGTGCCTGTAATACCACTACTCAGGAGTTTGAAGCAAGAGAATTTCTTGAATCCAGGAAGTGGAGGTTGCATTGAGCTGAGATTGCACCTCTACACTCCAGCCTGCATGACAGAGCAAGATTCCATCACACACACACAAAAGAAAGCCATTGGATGTAAATGCATGGATTATATCTGTGTTCTCCATTCTGTTCCATTTTTTATGTGCCTTTCTTTATGCCAATGTCATGCTGTTTTGCTTACTACAGCTCTGTAACATATTTCTAAGTCAGGTAGTGTGATGCTCCTGTTTTCTCTTTATACCTTCAAGTCTCAAGACAGTGGGCATCGCACACAAAAATTATGGAGAAAAGGATCCCAAGACTCCCAGGGTCCAACATTAGATAACAGAGTGTTGGCCATGAACCAACCTCAAAGATTTCCATTGAGTAGAGGACAAGCACCCTCATTTCCTCACATCTCTCCTGTCCCGTGTTCTAGGAAACCCTTCAAGTAGTTGGCCTTCACCCACAGAACCAAGCTCCAAATCTGGTGAGTAAAGGACCCCTCTTATCTCTGCTTTTGGAAACCTGGGGAGGTGGAAGCCTTGGATGCAAGTGTTGGCTCAAACCTCCCAGCTCTGTGAATGAGGGCCTGTCTTCCACCATCTCTGAACTCCAGACACTCCAACAGTGAAAGGGATCTAGGGCCACCAAAGGGCTCAGCGAAGTCTCTTTACCTTTAATTTCCTGCAGGTGAGACCTCCTACAAGCTAGAAGAATAATTGCCAATCTGACATCCTTCTCAGGAAACATGCAGTGTTTTTTCTGCCTGCATTCCTAACTGGAGGATAAATTCCCG